>NC_000006.12:156585941-156737456 GCF_000001405.40 Homo sapiens | reverse complement strand
TCAAATACATTCTTAATTATTCAAAGTAATTCAATGTTCTCCCTCTTATTCAGCTATCTGAAGTTTGATTAAGATTAATGCATTCAAGAGCCCACAACACCAGACTTCACGCTGGGGGGTGTCGGGTGATCTTACCAGTATGTAACCACCAATAAATAGCATGTCCTGGACACAGGCTGAATGGCTGAGATGTGCATGCTGTGTGTTCCTTGCTGTGTTCTCTTAACAACTTAGTCTGTGGGAGGAGGAAGGAGAAGCATACTGCTTCCTTTTACTAAGGCATCGTGAATTTCAGTGGTGCTGTCTATCATATAGACAGAATATTCCCATGTTTCCTGTAGCCATCTAATAACTGTGACCATAAGGAAGGAAAGAAGGGATTGAAGGAGACCACTAATAAAGCTCTGATGGAAACCAGGAGACTTCCTGCCTTTCCAGACTGCTCCATTTTGGCTTCAGTCTTCCTGGTGTTTCTAGTTGTCCTTAAAGGAGTCCTTGAAACTTTAAATTTCCTTGTTCTCTCCATTTCCATTCCAGAACAAGTGGTTCATACTTTGTTATATTGATGCCATTCAATTTCCTAAAATAATGAGCCTAGCATGGGCAAATTTGACTTTGATAAAAGAAACTCATCAGTGTCTCAGGAGGTGTCACACAGCGCACAGAGGTGGCATTTGGCTGTGAGATTGGAGAGTCTGCCCTTCCAGGCATGCCTCCTATGGTCGTGAGTCTTCACTCATCCCAGACTTTGACAAAACAACTTACCCTGTGTGGGTGCAGAGTTTTGTTTTTTGTTTTTTGTTTTTTGTTTTTTTTTTTTGAGATGGAGTCTTGCTCTGTCACCCAGGGTGGAATGCAGTGGTGCGATCTCGGCTCACTGCAACCTCTGCCTCCCTGGTTCAAGTGATTGTCCTGCCTCAGCCTCCCAAGCAGCTGGATTACAGGTGCGTGCCTCCATGTCTGGCTAATTTTTTGTATTTTGTTAGTTTCACCATGCTGGCCAGGCTGGTCTCGAACTCCTGACCTTGTGATCAGTCCACCTCGGCCTCCCAAAGTGCTTGGATTATAGGCGTGGGCCACCAAGCCTGGCTGAGTTCTTTTTAAAATAGTTCTCTGGGCCGGGCACAGTGGCTCACACCTGTAATCTCAGCACTCTGGGAGGCAGAGGAGGATAGATCACCTGAGGTCAGGAGTTCGAGATCAGCCTGGCAAACATGGTGAAACCCCGTCTCTACTAAATATACAAAAATTAGCCAGGCGTGGTGGCAGGCACCTGTGATCCCAGCTACTTGGGAGGTCGAGGCGGGAGAATCACTTGAACCCGGGAGGCAGAGGTTGCAGCGAGCTGAGATTACGCTACTGCACTCCAGCCTGGGCGACAGAGTGAGCCCTGTCTCAAACAAACAAATAAATAAATAAATAATAAAATAAAACAGTTGTCTGAAGCCTGGCTTCTCAAAGAGTGGCCATGAATCAGCAGCGTGGGAATCTCCTGGGAGCTTCTCCAGTACAGCATCTCAGGCCCTGACCCAGAGCCTCTGAATCTGAATCTGCAATGTATCAAGATCCCAGTGATGCACAGCACATTCGAGTCTGAGAAGCACTGATGTTGAGTATTGTGCTCTTGACCTAACGCAGAGTCACCTCTTTTGACTCAGTAATAATATCTAAGAACAAGATTGGGGAAAAAACTCATCTAACATGGCATCCTGGTATTCTATAAACAACGTCAACTCATCTAACATGGCATCCTGGTATTTTATAAACAATGTCAACTCATCTAACACGGCATCCTGGTATTCTATGAGAAATTAGGAATCACAGTAGGATCTTTTTTTCCTTGTATAAGAACACTTAATATTTAAGTCTATAAATGATACAGAAAAATTGTTTCCATTTTGATTTGGTATGAATGCAGTCTTGCTCACAACTGCTAAATTAGAAGCAAAGAACTGTCTCCTTTCAGGTTAATGGGTTTCCCCTCATCAAGCTGTCTTTCTTTCATGTAATCTAGACTTGCCTCCACTTATTTATTTTTTTATAACTGTTCATTTTTTAATAGGATTATTCATCCTTCTAATATTAACAGCAATTAAACTCACCTCATGGTGCATCATGCCAAGTCAATCCGCGACTGTCAGAATAGGATGATCTTAGTCTTGTCTCAGTAACAAACTTTGACAACCAAAACAAAGCAGCGGGCAAAATACATGAAGAGAATTAACAATAAAGGATCACAGATGACAAGAACTTCTCGAACATCATGGTTGCCTCTGCCTGTTCTGCCCACACGGGAACAATGGCATTCACTCTGCTAGGGACTATTGAAACTATGACACATGGTCTTAAATTATATTTTTCAGAAAAGTTTTAAAAGAAGACTCCCTAAAAGCCTTCAAAACATTAGCATTCTCTTTCCAAATCTAATCTATTTAATTTTATTGGAAAACATTTACATAGCTCATCAGCAGACTTCCTAGTATTGAGTAATATTTAGCACGCTGTAATCATAGGAAAGAGAGATTTAGATTAAATGCAGCTTTTTATTACTATTCAATCATCATAAGTTGTTCCACTTTTTATCTTTTTAGTCAACAGATTTCAAAGGTGGGAAAATATCTTCATTTGCAGACATACCTGTATTTATCTCCTATTATATTTTCCATTAGTGTCTACATGAGATTTATTCCTGGTGATTTCCAACAAAGTAAATGTGAATCTCCTAACACCAGATGCTAATAATAAAGACAAATGCATCCTATCACTTAGAGATGTTATGAGAACAAATTAGATAATATTTACAGGGGAATTTGACCTCACTAGAGATCGTATATAAATAAAATGTTTTTGAAACAGCATTTAAAGAACAAAAACTTCCATTCAATTGTAGCCAGATTGACTTGACAGTACCAAATTATGTCCTGCATAAAGAAAAGGTTCCTACTAATATTGATTCCACTGGTTGTGGTAAATGCCAAACACTGACAATGAATTCCAGGTCTGGGCTGAAACCTTGGTCATCGGTTTGGATGTATACAAGATGAGCTCTTTGTCTTTCTCTAGACACCTACATTTATTAAACTTGTGATACTGGTAAAGCCTTATATATATTGTGGTTAATTATCAAAATTGTTTTTTAACCTCTTTCTACATTTGATAACATGTAAGAACTGTGAGTAAGGAAGACTCACTGCACGAAAGTAGTTGATGTGAGGCTGGGTGCAGTGGCTCATGCCTGTAATCCCAGCACTTTGGGAGGCCAAGAAGAGTGGATCAAATGAGGCCAGGAGTTCGAGACCAGCCTGGTCAACACGATGAAACCCCGTCTCTACTAAAAATACAAAAACTAGCCAGGCATGGCAGCACACGTGTAATCCCAGCCTCTTGGGAGGCTGAGGTACCAGAATTGCTTGAACCTGGGAGGCGGATGTTGCAGTGAGCCGAGACTGCACCACTGTGCTACAGCCTGAGTAACACAGCGAGACCCTGTCTCAAAAAAAAAAAAAAAAAAAAAAGAGAAAGCAGTTGATGTAAAGAGATTTTTAAAACATATATAAAACGTATACACCTGGACAAACTGTTTTCATGTTTATATCATCTAGAACCAAAACGAAGCTTTTGGTGAGACAGTGGGCAGAAAGGGAATCACAGTCACTACAGATTGAGGGCAAAGTTGTCCTCACAGATGTAGGAAGGTCATCAATTAGATTCTTAGTATTGTTTGTGGGGCACTGAAAAGTTCTCATTTCCACATATTTTTCAAACATACTTCAACACTATCCCAGAGTCTACTACTTTAAATTTCTCTGAGTTAAATGAAGTAGTTGCATATTCAAGAAGAAAGGCAGGCTGGGCGCAGTGGCTCACGCCTGTAATCCTAGCATTTTGGGAGGCCGAAATGGGTGGATCACCTGAGGTCAGGAGTTCGAGACCAGCCTGGCCAACATGGTGAACTCTGTCTCTACTAAAAATACAAAAATTAGCCAGGCATGGTGGCGGGTGCCTGTCATCCCAGATACTCGGGAGCTAAGACAGGAGAATTGCTTGAACCTGGGAGGCGGAGGCTGCAGTGAACCGAGATCTCACCGCTGCACTTCATCCTGGGCGAGAGAGTGAGACTCCGTCTAACACACACACACACACACACACACACACACAAAGAAGAAAGGCAAGAGTAAAAATTGTAGGATGATGAAGATATTCAACAATGTAATAAACCAACACTTAACTGCCTACCTACTATGTGTCATTCACTATTCTAAGTGCTTTACCAGAACTATCTTGTTTAATTCCCACCCCAACTCTATGAAATAGGTCCTATTATTATCCCAATGTTACAGATGTGGGAACAGGCAGAGAAAGGTTAAGAAGCCTGCCCAAGATTATGCACGGCAGAGCTGGGCTGTCTGACTCTACAGTCCACGCTCCTGCCTCCTTCCATACAAGCGCAGTAGTTAGCACCATACAACGTATTACTGTGAAAAAACAAACAATACTGTTCAATGTTTAATAGAAAGAAAAATCTGAACGTTGAAAATGTTTAGATTGTGCTTGAACAATTGTTGCATTTTTCTAGAAAAGCCAAGACTATAATATTAGGGCAGCCTCCACCTTTCTATTTTAAACAGTGCTGGGCTCATGAACAGCAAGCGTTCATAGTACAATCACAATGTGGTGAAATTGTTCACCAAGAACAGAGCACTAGATAATATGCCAAAAGGACCGCTCTCTTGTGGAGCCAACAACAGACATTTGGGTGGAAATGAGAAAGGCAACATGGACATGAGTTTAGAGATGGAAATATCAGAAGAGCTTAGATAATATGCTGTGACTAACTGACATCTCTATCATTAACTTTTGCAGTAAGAGGCTACTATGCATTTTTGAATGCAGAATGGCATCTCGATACACACAATGTAAAAAGGGCCTTTCAAATTTTCCTCTAATGTCAGAAACATGTGCTGTACATGTTTTTTGTCTTGTTTTATCCTGTAAAACATATGGATTTTTGAAACAAGATGAACTGATAACCCAGTTTCCCCACCCCTAAGAGAACATTGTCATATGATTAAGTATAAACCTTTCCATAGCAACAGACGTTATATATCAGACATGAACCCTACGTATTTCCCTTGAAGAAAGCTTTAAGGTTATAATGGACAAATTCAAAATAAAGTCTATGATCCCATCACCCTGAAGCCTGCTTCCCCAATCAGCTCAAGAAAGGATACATTGACAAATGACTCACCATGGCTTCCTAGAGCTCATTTCTTTGCCTTCCTTTTTCTTTAAATGGCACTTCAACCTTAATAGTTACAAAGGTTTCAAGAGGGAGGACTGGTGCCACCTGAAAAAGAAAGGCCAAAAATCCAATACAATTATGGTTTGCAGAAGTTCAGCATTGGGCTTACTGAATAGTATTGAGGCATAGTGGTTTTTCTACTCTGAGACTAAAGACCTTCATTCTTGCCACCCGTTACTGTTTTATTTTGTGTATTTCCACTCTATGAACATTATATGAACACTGGCTACCCGCTTAGCTATAAATCCAAAATAGGTATTTCTTAGAGGGGAAAAGGTAGCTTTGGGGACAATATCTTGCGATGTTTTCATAAATACATATCAGGAACATGATAGCAGGCCACTGGAAGTAGTGGCTAACACAGGGGCAAAACCAGGCTCATACATATAGTTGCACATGCAAACTAGAATTAGATTCCCAAAACACTTGCCTGTGCAGAGTGGTTGCCTCCCTTTGCTTACGCCAATTAGGCAGGAGGCACTGCCTAGGGCTGGAGAGTGAGTCTGCCTGGTGAGTCTATTACGACTCACTATTGTCTCTGTGTGGGGAGAAGCATGAGCTGCTCTGTGCGGCTAACATTGTGCTTTGTTTTTAACATGCAGAACTAGGCTTGCAGACGCTATTGATTATGCTTAGGAGAGAGGAAGTTAATGATATGTTGTGAGTGTGTGTACTGTATTTCATCTCTATTCAGGTTTTAAATAGCATCCTCTTCCAAATTTTCTACTCCAAAGGTTGCATGTTGAAAAGGGAAACAGATGGTCCAGTTTTATATTTCTTTTCCTTTCGAATTTCTTATGCAGCTCAGGGACCTTGGCCTTCTGGGATCTCAAATGATATTTCAGCCCATTATATGTATATCAGTTTGGAAACTAAGATGATATGTAAGAATGATTCAAAATCTACAAGGCCGCAGACTTTGCTGGCTCTTAGTGTGCCGTGAGCTGTTCATTTTAATTGAAAATATTCTAAAAGGAAGATTGATGTGTTTTCTATCCCTCTAAAATAGGAACAGGTCTGGGCTCATAATTGAGCACTCATAAGCCCCCTTTCCTTATTAACATGCCCTCTCTAATTTGTGCCTCTGTTTGCACAATATAAATGGCCTTTAACAGCCCTTCATTCATACAATGGTCTCAGTAACCCAAAGAAAATTAGTAGCAGGCAAAAGCCTATTTTAACTGACACAGAGACAAAAATGCTAATTACCTTAAAATATTCTCAAGTGTATATCTTTGGCATCCTTCCAAGTAAGGCTCAAAAGTTTTTTTTTTCTTGTTATTTACTAGTAATAGGGGAAGTTGTTTTTGTTTTACATTCGGGCTTATACATAAGTAAGTTTATATGTATAATTTGAAATCTTTTCTTTTGGGTCAAAAGTACTGGTGATAGGTGAGGTGTTTGGTTTTCTTTCTACTTAGTCTTTGGTATATTGAGAGAGTTGCCCATTTTGATCAATTATGCGATTGCTGTTTTTGTTAACGTACGCAGGGATATTTGGATAAAAAGTGGAGTGCCTAAAATTTTGAATTTACTTTATTTAAACATATTAATTACCATATGTTTTAGAGTTTCCTTAGAATTTTAAAAAATATTTCTCTGATAATTAAATCTGTTTGTCCCAGTTTACATTCTGATACACTCCTTCTTCTCAAAATTGTTTATTTATTTATTTATTTACATTGGGTTTTGGTGTCACCAGGCTGGAGTGCAGTGGCACGAACATGACTCACTGCAGCCTCGACTTCCTGGCCTCAAGCGATCCTCCTGCCTTAGCCTCCCCCGTAGCTGGGAACACTACGGTAGGCATTCGCCACGATGCATGGCTAATTTTTGTATTTTTTGTAGAGGTAGGCTCTCTCTTTGTTGCCCAGGCTGGTCTCAAACTTCTGGGCTCAAGTGATCCTCCTGCCTCAGCCTCCCAAAGTGCTGAGGCTTCAAAAATGATTTTAAAACTAAAGACTCTGATGTACACAATAAGCAATAACGAAACAAAATTCAAGGCAACTTATTAAATTATGATACCAGATATGCTGACAATATTTACATAAAGACAATGAGCTTTTTATGATTTCTGTCCAAATATTTATTGAAGATTTATTATTTTCAGGGTAATTTGTTAGGCTTGCTATAGAAGAGAACGAATAAGGTAGAAGTGCTCTTCTTAAAGGAGTTTAAAAATCAAGGTTGGGGAAAGAAAAAATATGTACACTAAAAGTTAAATAATGCTACAGAAGTCCAATAACAGTGGAAGACAACAGAATAAAAGATGCCACAAGACAGTGTAGGGTGAAGTGGCAATTAATGGGAAAAAACAAGTAGTGTCTGTCGTCCAGGCTGGAGGGCAGTGGTACGATCCCAACTCACTGCAGCCTTGACCTTCGGGACCCAAGCAATCCTCCAGCCTCAGCCTTAGCTGGAATTACCAGTGTGCGCCACCATGCCCAGCTAATTTTTAAATTTTTTGTAGAGATGTCATCTCACTATGATGCCCAGGCTGGTCTTGAACTCCTGGACTCCAGTGATCCTCCCATCTCAGCCTCCTGAAGTGCTGGGATTGCAGGCATAAGCCACCACACCCAGACTGACACAGTTTTAATAATGGTCAAAAGATTTGAGTAGATATTTCAACAGAAAAGAGAAATGAATGTCTAATAACCACATAAGAAGATGCTCAACTCATTAGTCATCAGGGAGATGCAAATCAAAACCACAACAAGATACCACGACATACCCACTAGGATGGCTATCTTCAAAAAGCCAGACAGTATCAGGTGTTGGCGAGGATGTGGAGAAGCTGGAACCTGTGTACATTGCTGGTGGGAATGTAAAATGATATAGCCACTTGGGATAACAGACTGGCAGTTTCCCTCCCTCCTTCCTTCCTTTTGAGACAGGGTCTTGCCTGTTGCCCAGGCTGGAGTGCAGAGGCGCCATCATAGCTCACTGCATCCTCGAGCTCCTGGGCTCAAGCGATTTTCCTGTTTCAGCCTCCCGTGTAGCTGGGACCACAGGAGCATGCCACCATGCCCAGCTAATTTCATTTTTTGCAGAGACAGGGCCTCATTACATTGCCCAGCCCGGTCTCAAAGTGCTGGCCTCAAGTGATCCTCCTGCCCCAGCCTCCCAAAGCACTGGGATTACAGGCATGAGCTACTGTGCCTGGCTACATTGGTAGTTTCTTAAAAAGTTAAACATCAATTTGCTGTAAACCCAGCAATTAACTGCTAAGAATCTATCCAAGGAAAATGAAAACATATGTTCAAACAAAGATATGTATGTAAATGTTCACAGCAGCATTATTCATTGTAGCCCCAAACTCAAAATAACCCAAATGTCCATCAGCTGGTGAGTGGATAAACAAAGTGTAATATAGTCCTACAATGGAATACTATTCACCAATAAAAAGAAACCAAGATTGATACATGTTTCAATATAGATGAATCGTTAAAAAATATGTTAAATGAAAGATGCCAGATGCAAAAGACTATATTTATATGACCCTATTCATATGCAATGTCCAGGAAAGGCAAATCTATAGAGACAGAAAACACATCAGGAATTTCTTAGAGCTTAGAGTGAGTGCAGAGATTACCTACAAATGGGCATAAGAAAATTTTTAGGGTGTTAGAAATGTCCTGAAATAGAATCTAAAATGGATTCTACGATAGCTGCACATCTGTATACATTTACTAAAAATCCTTGAGTTGTAGCCTTACAATGAATGGATTTTATGTTATGTAAATTATACTCCAATAAAGCTGCTGAAGAAAAAACGAACATCACATGTTCTCACAGGAGAGGGCTGACGTGGTCATCTGAACTTTTCATGTTTATTTCAAGGCCGAAATGTAATTCAAACGTGTTTATATCAATAGATGTGAATCCTTTTTCACAGTTTGCAATGTCTTTTACCATTTTCAAGTTTATTTGATCCTGACACTAATTCTGTGAGGTAGGTTAAGAAAGTATTGCATAACATATAATAAGCACTTTTCTTTTTCCTTTTACCTATGTTCTTAGGAAACTTCAAATACTGTATAGATCATATAATTTGAAAATAAAGGCCATCTTAGATAATACAATCTGAATAAATTGGATAGAAAATATTATCATTCTCAGATGCTTTTACAAAGACAGGTATCCTCCACTTGCCAAACTACACTGAAGGTCGGGGAAGCTCCTAGCTGGAGCCTCATTACAAGACATTGTGGACAGGCTTGGCCAGGTGGCCACACCCACAGATCCACCCACTTGTCCATCTTCCTCATTTAAGCCTGTGGTGGTTTCTCACTCTAAAGCATTTGCATTTACAAACATCAAAATGCATGCAATATAATTGTATATACAATTAGTTGCACAATGGCTACAATTACAGGAGCTAATATTCCCTGGCAGAAGCAAAGCTGCCAAAAACCAAACTGGAGATTAGTGTATTAATTTGGTTCACAGTAGATTCTTCTCTAGTATTTCTCTTGAAAGCCCCAATAGAACTTAAACAATTCCAACTTAGCTTGAATCAGAGAATGACATGTTTAAAGAAATGCAGCATTAAGCATCCAATTTGAAAATGTATGTTGGCGTACACATAAATAATCTTACAGTAGATAAAAGTCACACGAACCTCTCTTATTTTAACTGTACATACATAGCAGGCCAAAATCATAGACCTTTCTATTCAGCCTAAGATTTAATGCTTTGGATTTATGAGAAGGTCTGTTTCTGGATTTGTCTCTTCCACAATTTCTGCTTGAGTTTCATGAAAAAAGTATTGGCCAAAGGTGGAAAATACAAACTCAACTAAACCAAAGTTTCAGCCTTGCTGTCTCAGCTTCATTTGTGTGCTTGCTTATTAATCTCTGCTTTACAAGGAAAGCGTGAATATGTTGTGTGCCTCATCACTCTTTGGTTCTCTGCATGACCTCCTATACCTTTGCTCCTGAAAGGAGCTTTTTGGCAGCTGAAAAGGTATCTTTTTGGCAGCACAGCTGTGCAAGGATGCTAACATACTCTCCAATCGGACACAATGTGTTCTCTTGACCATCTAAACAAATGTAGAAAGATCCAGCTGATTTCAGCCAATAGCTAATTTTGATATTTTCAAGTTGTAAAAATTTTATATTAATGTATACATTGCAATACATGGAGTGTGGGATGCACATTCCATGTGCACATTAAAAAAAAACCTTTGTACTGCAGTTTTTTTAAAAATGGAATTTGAAACTTATAGACAAATTGTGTATTGCACTATCCTAAAATGCCACAAAAGTTACAGCTTGAAAGTAACAATGATAGAGATAAGAAATGGATATTAATTAAATGGTATTTTGCAAACACACACACATGCATACATGCATGCAGCTGCAAGGAAAAGATATGTCATCTCAAACAGCACCTTTCATTTATTTTCTTTTAAATAAGCCTTACTACATCGGCTTTCAAGTTCCTACAGGTCCGGTGTTCCTCTAAGGGGCATTTGTTGCCCCTCAGAGGGTGCGGATCACCAACACCCCTCCACTGCTCCCTCAACAACTCTGTTCACATTTGTTTTATTTACTTGGCTTTTACTTAATATTTTGTTTGGAAAAGAGTCTGTGGATAAATGCAGTCTGAAAACCACGGCACAACATAATGTAAAAGCTTTTGCTTAAATGTTGTACTTTAAAGAAGTGTTCCCTTACACCTACCACATAAAAATGTCATCTTACAAGTGTTACAGCAAAGACCAAAGGCTAGGGTCCAGGAGCGGTGGCTCACACTTGTAATCTCAGAACTTTGGGAGGCTGAGGCAGGCGGATCACCTGAGGTCAGGAGTTTGAGACCAGCCTGGCCAACATGGCGAAATTCCCTCTCTACTAAAAATACAAAAATTATCCAGGCATGGGGGTGCATGCCTGTAATCCCAGCTACTCAGGAGGCTGAGGCAGGAGAATCCCTTGAACCTGGGACACACAGGCTGCAGTGAGCTGAGATTGTACCACGGCACTCCAGCCTGGGCAACAGAGCAAGACTCCATCTCAAAAACAAAACAAAACAAAACACCAAAGGCTAGAACATAATTTTCTATTTATACTCTTTTCCAATACTATAAATGGCATGTGATACTTAATTTTACAGAGCCCCTGTACAAATTATCAAATATTTTAATAACTATATAAATATTAACATTTGATATATGAGACCTCCTAGACTGCAGCATAATCCTAACTCTGGATTGATAGGGTGCTAAATGGGAAAATTCCTGTTTAGACAGTTGTAAGATAAGGGAAATGTTTAATGAAACAAGTTTTATGGTCTTGTCATCATAAAACTGATAGATACTTGGCATACCTTAATTTTTGCCAAAGAATTTTGAGAAAAGGAACAATCAGTAACTTAAATTAATTCCCCCTACTTCCCCATCAGTCCAATTCATCTATCTCTTATTCTATGAATGGTCCCTTGGTCTGCTGATTAAACAAATTCTTTTTTGCACCATTATTTAAGCAATTAAGAGTTGTTTGGTGGCCCACGCCTGTAATCCCAGCACTCTGGGAGGCTGGGGTGGGTGAATCACCTGAGGTCAGGAGTTTGAGACCAGCCTGAACAACATGGCGAAACCCCATCTCTACTAAAAATACAAAAATTAGCCAGGTCTGGTAGCACATGTGTGTAATCCCAGCTACTAGGGAGGCTGAGACGGGAGAATTGCTTGAACCCGGGAGGCGGAGGATGCAGTGAGCCAACATCAGGCCATTGCACTCAAGACTGGGCAACAAGAGTGAAACTACATCTCAAAAAAAAGAAAAAAGTTGTTTTTATTTTATTTATTTATTTTAAGGGATAAGGTCTCACTCTGTTGCCTAGCCTGGAGTGCAGTGGTGTAATCATAGGTTACTGCAGCCTCAAACTCCTGGGTTCAAGCAATCCTCCTGCCTCAACCTCCTGAGTAGCCGGGATGACAGGCACATGACATCATGCCTGGCTAATTTTTTTATTTTTATTGTAGAGATAGAGTCTTACTATGTGGCCCAGGCTGGTCTCTAACTCCTGGCCTCAAGTGATTCTTCTGCCTCAGCCTCCGGAAGCGCTGGGATTACAGGTGTGAGCCACTGTGCCTGGTTGGTTTTTAATTTGTTTTTAAGGACATATGTCTAGTTTATTTGTAAGGGTTTAAGTAAAGGCTATTTCACTTGGGGTATCATTGATTTTCTAAATTAACTCAGCATAACAAAAGCGTAAAAACAAAATAAAATATTTGGGTCATTTCCCCTATGACTTTGAATCTATTTACCGCCCAGATAGGTTCACTATGTTACTGAGAGACTTAGTAAAATAAAGAACAAATTATTCCAGCCAAAGGATTTTCTTATCTCAGTTCCCTAAAAGTCTGTACTCTTCCCATAATAACAGACGGATTTGATTCCTCAGCAAAATGCTGTGGAGGACACTGAGATAAAGTACTATAAGCATGACCATTCTCTTGAGTAAAGTGGAAAGGGATCCTTCACTCTAAGCAGAACGTCAATGACATGGTTTGGCTGTGTCCCCACCCAAATCTCACCCCCCCCCCTTTTTTTTTTTTAAAGACCGAGTTATGTTCTTGTTGCCCAGGCTGGAGTGCAATGGCACAATCTCAGCTCACCACAACCTCCACCTCCTGGGCTCAAGTAATTCTCCTGCCTCAGCCTCCTAAGTAGCTGAGATTACAGGCATGCACCACCACACCTGGCTAATTTTGTATTTTTAGTAGAGATGCGGTTTCTCCATATTGGTCAGCCTGGTCTTGAACTCCCGACCTCAGGTGATCTGCCCTCCTGGGCCCCCAAAAGTGCTGGGATTACAGGCGTGAATCACGGGGCCCCTGGCCCTTTTTTTTTTTTTGTGAGACGGACTCTTGCTGTTGCCCAGGCTGGAGTGCAGTGGTACGATCTCGCCTCACTGCAACCACTGCCTCCCAGGTTCAAGCAATTCTCCTGCTTCAGCCTCCTGAGTAGCTGGGATTACAGGCATGTGCCACCACGCCTGGCTAATTTTTGTATTTTTAGTAGAGACAAGGTTTCGCCATGTTGGCCAGGCTGTTCTCCACCTCCTGACCTTGTGATCTGCCTATCTTGGCCTCCCAAAGTGCTGGCATTACAGGCATGAGCCACCGCACCCCACCCCAAATCTCATGTTGAATTGTGGTTCCTGTAATCCCCACGTATTATGGGAGGGACCTGGTGGGAGTTAATTGAATCATGGGGGCGGTTATCCCCATGCTGTTTTTATGATAGTGAGTGAATTCTCATGAGATCTGATGGTTTTAGAAGGGGCTTTTCCTTGCTTTGCTTGACACTTCTCTCTCGTGAAGAAGACGGGTTTGCTTCCCCTTCCACCATGATTGTAAGTTTCCTGAGGCCTCTCCAGCCATGTGGATGTGAGTCAATGACATCTCTTTCCTTGATAAATTACCCAGTCTCGGGCGTTCTTTAGAGCAGTGTGAGAAGGGACTGATATCACCTACTAGTAAATAACATAAGAAGAGAAGTGGCTGGTGTCACCATGAAGATCACTGGAGACTGCCTTGGATGGTCATGAGCAATGGGGCCATTTCTCAGCTTCTTTCAAACTTCCTGGAGCTCACAGCATGCTAGCCTCATTCATCCATGTGAGCTTGTATGTCTCCTGGATGTCACTTCCAATAGGTTTAGATCACTTTATGAAGCACAATGAGAGGTATTTCCTTTACCTGTAGAAAGTGGTTCACTTTCACTTTTTGTTATCTTCCGGAAGAAAGTCTCTGTTTTTTTAAATTCTAATTTCCAGTCCATTCAAAAAGAAGATGTGAACGAAATCAATATTCTCAATCTTTTTTTTTTTTTTTTGAGACGGAGTTTCGCTCTGTTGCCCAGGCTGGAGTGTAGTGGTGCAATCTTGGCTCACAGCAACCTCCGCCTCCCGGGTTCAAGTGATTCTTCTGCCTCAGCCTCCCAAGTAGCTGGGATTACAGGCACGCGCCACCATTCCCAGCTTTTTTTTTTTTTTTTTTTTTTTTTTTTTGTATTTTTAGTAGAGACGAAGTTTCACCATGTTGGCCAGGCTGGTCTCGAACTCCCAACCTCAGGTGATCCACCTGCCTTGGCCTCCCAAACTGCTGGGATTACAGCAGGCGTGAGCCACAGCGCCCAGCCTGTTGTTTTTTCTTTCTTTTTTTTTTTTTGAGACGGAGTCTCACTCTGTCGCCCAGGCTGGAGTGCAGTGCACAATCTCGGCTCACTGCAATTTCCGCCTCTCAGGTTCACGTGATTCTCCTGCCTCAGCCTTCTGAGTAGTTGAGACTACAGGTGTGTGCCACAGGCCCGGCTAATTTTTTTTTTTTTTTTTGTATTTTTAGTAGAGACGGGGTTTCACCGTGTTAGCCAGGATGGTCTCCATCTCCTGACATCGTGATCCGCCCACCTCGGCCTCCCAAAGTTCTGGGATTACAGGCGTGTTGGCCGCCTCGGCCAATAAGCTCACTCTTTAGGGGGCTGACCTCACCATAGTTTATCCTCCCACCTCCTTTTGTTGTGATGGTCATGCGTTTTATTGTTTGTCTTGGCCTTGGGAATCTGATTGGAGTGGGCAGATCTTCCAGAACAGAATTTTGGTGTAATTGTGGGGGCATCCCAGGGGTCTGGAATGAAGCAACCTTAAGAGAACTTCCTTCTGTTGCTCTACATTCCCGCCTGTGTCTCAGACCCTACATACAAAATCCCAGGGTCTCCGCATTGTTCCTGGGGAGACAGTCAGCACCACCTGGAAAATGACACCAAATGTCACTTCTGCAGCCAGAATTCAAAAGCATGTTAGTTGCTCCAGAGGCAGGGGATATGCAGGCAGGCAGTGTTCAGAGAAAAAAACAATAATTCCCCTCTGTTAATACAATGTAAAAATCTTAAAAACAACTATTTTGCTGGAAACGTAAAAACCTGAGAGCCAGGACAAAACGTGATTCCACATAAAGATGAGAGAAACAGAAAAGAAAGAATTAGGCCATTAGGCCGGGCGCGGTGGTCTATGCCTGTAATCCCAGCACTTTGGGAGGCCAATGTGGGTGAATCACTTGAGGTCAGGAGTTTGAGACCAGCCTGGCCAACATGGTGAAATCCCGTCTCTACTAAAAATACAAAAATTAGCCGGGCTTGGTGGCAGGCGCCTGTAATCACAGCTACTTGGGAGTCTGAGGCAGGAGAATCGCTTGAACCCGGGAGGCAGAGGTTGCAGTGAGCCGAGATGGTGCCGCTGCATTCCAGCCTGGGTGACAGAGCGAGACTCTGTCTCAGAAAAGAAAAGAAAAGAAAACAACAACAACAACAACAACAACAACAGTAAGAATTAATTGTTTTTTAAAAGATCAACTTAGATTTGTTCAGAATGTTCGTCTGACTACACAGTATTGTATCACTTTAATCAAGCATTAGCTTCTCTTCGAGTATCAGCTATCCCAAGAAGATGGGGGTGCAGGGAAGGCAGGGGTGGGGAGGTGTTGCATTCCAATCCTGCTGCCCAGAATTCGTGTCGACCCATTTCCTCATTCATGCGCTGGCCAGGAACACTCCGCTGGAACACTGTGAGTTCAGCAACTTGCATAACAAAGACAGGTCGACACCACCTAGCTCTGGAGGCAACCTTGCAGGATTGCTCCTGAGAGACGCTGGCATATGCCACAGAGGAGGAGAAAGTTCCACAAACAACCCCCGGATCTCTCCACCCAGGTCTCTCTACACCTGGTTTCTCAAGAGCAGATTGCTTAGCCAACCTTAACAATCCCAGAGGAACGCCAGGGCAAGAGGCTGGGTTCCCAGTACCTTTGCCCTAATTTATTGAGGGCTTTAAAAGTAGAAAATAAAACTTTGAACTCAACTCATCTGAAGCTTAATGATTCAGGTGTGCTACTTGCCTTCGGGGGCACCGGAGATCACTGAAGTTAAAGTGACAAAAAAAATTCTGTGAGCTGCAGAACAGAAAAGCGTGTCCAGACCCGACCCAGCTGCTTCTCCTAGCGTATTAACTTGGCAGGAGAAGCACGGAAGTCCCCTGTTCTGCCCTTGTCCTTTTCTAATGGATAGGATTTCCCCTGCTTACGGGCCTCTAATCCTCTCTCCTCTCTGGCCTTCCAGAGTGTGGAGAAAAAGTGCTCTGCTTCAAGAAGAGGGTAGAAAGATGAGGGTGAGAATGGTAGGAAAAGGAGGAAATGAAAATGGCTAGTGAGAAATACTTGGAGAGAAAAATAAAAGTCAAGGGTGAAGTCAGTTCTCATTTACACTTCATTGAAACTTAAGTTCAAATAGCTAGTCCTGCAATGAGCTCATCGACACCACTTTATACAAATATCATAGCCCACATGGGCCTTTTTCCTATCTTACTAGGGAGATATTCACAGCAACCCCATTCAGCTCTGTTAGGATCCACTGTGTTAATTTTTGTGGCAGTGTCCATGTGGTGCTTCTGCGCAGTAGGTGTTGAATGTAGTTCTGAAACTAAGATTCCACTATGACCGACTGCAAAGCAATGTAGTAGTATTTCAGCTTAGATGATATTTAAGGATAAATGTAGCCCTTTTAGTGACAGGGAAAGCTAGGCCTAAAAGGAAGGAGAGATCTTTGGCCTAGCCAAAGGGGAGGTGGGCTGCTGTCCGCACCCTCAAGCGAGAGAAGGTTCCAGGCTTTTCCAGAGTGACCTCTCTCTTCTTCCTGGGGAGGGCTCAGAGCAAGGGTTACCTTTGGATGATTTCTTCTCGCTGAATTCAGCTACTAAGCACTTTGCCTGGAAAGGAAGGGCACCTCTGAGCTATTCCTACCGACGCAGTGTGTGCACGTGTGTGTCTGTGTGCATGTGTGTGGGCGTGTGCATGTGCGTGTGTGTTGCTCCTGACAGGTCCTGAGTGCAGTGCAGAACCACGCAGCGCGCAGCGGGAGGCCTGCAGCCGCTGGGCGTTTTCCCAGGCCGGCCTGCGGCGCGGCCGGCCTCCTGGGCCGGTGCTGGGCGGCTGACACATGCACCAGTTTCGCTGGGTCGGCGCCTCCCCGGGGAGCGGGTGCGGGGCGGGAGAGGTGAGTTGAGCAACAGGGCCCGCCCCGCCCCCGTCCTGGGCCGGCTCTGCGCAGAGGAAGCGTCTGGAACGCCGGCACTGGTGTGTGGCTTTCCCAGGGCGTGTGGTGTGTAAACAAAATTGTTGTCAATCAGGTCGCGTCTTTGAAGGCTCCGAGGGAGCCTGTGAGTTCCAGAAGCCCCGCGGTGGATCCCTGTGTGGACGCAGAGGCTTTTTGCTGGGCGCACACGCACCCCCACCCCCGACAACGTAGATCTTTACTAATTTCAGGGTTTGTGACCTCTCACCTTTAGTCTTTAGTTTCTCTCCTCAGCCCTCCTTTCTGATGATCTTTACCGCCCTGTAACCCTACGTTTCCCAGTCGCCAGAGCTGCTGAGACCGCGTGGCCATGAGGTGGAATTTCCCAGCTTTTTAAACCGGGGCTTTTACCCCCAAGACTGTGGTAGATGGGTCACAGAAAGGACGAGAACGTTCCCAAACCCTCCAGCCTTTGAGACAGAGTGTGTGCTTTAAGAGACGTTAATGGCAGGGCGCGGTGGTTCATGCTTGTAATCCTAGCACTTTGGGAGGCCGAGGTGGGTGAATCACCTCAGGACAGGGGTTCGAGGCCAGCCTGGCCAACATGGCGAAACAACATGGCGAATTTTTAGTCTCTACTAAAAATACAAAAAATTAGCCAGGCCTGGTGGCGGGCACCTGTAATCCCAGCTACTCAGGAGGCTGAGGCAGGAGAATCGCCTGAACCCGGGAGGCGGAGCTCGCAGTGAGCCAAGATCGCACCACACTCCAGGCTGGAGTGTGGAGACAGAGGGAGACTCCGTCTCGGAAAAAAAAAAAAAAAAAAAAAAAGAGAAGTTGATACAAAAAAAAAAAAAACCCAAAAAACAAAAAAACAAAAAAAAAAAACAAAACCAGAGTGTGGATGCCTTGGAACACCCACCTGTGATCCTTGCGGAGCGGGGGTCTTCACCCTGGGGGGTGGACTCTTTGGGGACTGGGTCACCCCTTATTTCTCCGGAAGAGACAAATATATTTCACTGGGGATGAAATGGTTTCTGTACATAATTTAAATAGTGTTTTGGGGGTCCTAGGCATGCAAAATGCAGCTTGACTTGAAGGTGTAATTCTCCTTAAGGGAAAATGTGGAATGCGCCGAGTGTTTTCCTTACCTGCTTTTCAAGCTAGCTTGACTCTGTGTCACTAACGAAGCTGTTGAACCGCGTGCAGATGTGTAATCCAGCCCCTGGCGGAGTCGGCCACACTGTGCTGATTGGCTCTGCCAAGCCTGGAAGCTGGGCTGAGTCACCCAGGGGCTGCTCTAGCCGTGGATTTCCCTCTAAATTTAGAATATGTTGGTAGAATAAAATGACTACCACTTTTTACAGATTCAATGTCTTCACTAACTCCCTCTTTTAGACATATTTTTTTTTAGGAAGGGAAGTGTTTTGTCTTAATTTTTCCCTCTGATGGAGATACTTTGGGTTTTAAACAAAATTGAGTAATAATGACAATAAAATATTGTCATTAAAAATCATTTCTGTTTTTGGAGAAATTATATGTTCTGGTTTGGAAATCCTGTTTTTGCCAGAAATAAAAATGTAAAAATATTTTTCCAAATTATTCCTGAAGTTTATGATTGTACCTTCAACTAATTACATTCTCAGAGACACATTTAAATTAAATTTTAATTTTAAAATTTCATTATATGAGTACTACTTTTAAATTATGAAACATTTCAGGCATACAAAAACCTACAGAGAATTTTATAATAAACATATGTAGGCTGAGGTGGGAAGATCACTTGAGCCAGAGAGTTTGAAGCTGCCGTGAGCCAGCATTGTGCCACTGCACTCCAGCCTGGGCAACAGAATGAGACCTTCCCTCAAAAACAACCCAAAACAAACAAACAAACAAAAACCCATATGTAGTCCACTACATAGCCCAAGAGATAAGGCTTTACAGATGTAATCGAAGCCCCCACCACTGACGTTTCCTCCTTCCTAATCTCATTTTCCTTCTTCAAATTCCAGAGATAAATATTACCTTACACTGGGTGTTTATCGTTCCCAGGCATTAAAAGGTTTACTACATATGCACAGGCGTATACACATACACAGTACACCATAAAGTGTTAGTTTGCATTTCAAACAATTTTTATATGAACGATATCATACTGCACTTACATTTCTACAGTTGGCAGCTGTATCGCTCCAGCTATATCACAATATTTTTCTGATATATACACATTGATGACAGCAGCTCTGCTGCCGAAGCGTCCTTTGTCTAGAATGGCCATGCTTCTGTTGATGGATATAAGTTGTTTACATCTTTTTTTTTTTTCCGGACAGGGTCTTGCACTGTCATCCAAGCTGGAGTGCAGTGGCATGATCTTGACTCATTGCAGCCCCAACCTCCAGGGCTCAAGTTATTCTCCTACCTCAGCCTCCCAAGCAGCTGGGACCACAGGTGTGTGCCATTACACTAGGCTAATTATTTTTTATGTTTCTTAGGGAGGAGGTCTCATATGTTGTCCAGGCTGGTCTCAAACTCCTGGGCTTAGGCAATCCTCTGGCCTTGGCCTCCTGAATGTTGGGATTATAGGCATGAGCCACTGCGCCTGGCCTTGTTTCCACTTTTTCTCTATTATAAACCGTGTTGCTGTGAACCTTCTTGTATGTGTTGCATTGTGCATGTGTAAAGACTTTCATCCAGGAGTGGAAATGTTTCAGGATTTTAAGTATACAATCTACAACTTTATTAGATACTGCCAAATTGTTCTCCACAGTCACTAGTTTTACATTTTCACTGTAGAAACATAAGAAATACAGATTAGATGAGAAAAAAAAGGAAAAGTCACTCCCCATCTCTACATTCAGAGAAACCCACTTCTAACTACTTCAAAATCTTTTTGGTATATAAACTTCCAGGTTTTTCTGTGCCCCCCCCCCTACAGAATCCAGTATACCTTATATGTCTCTATATATGTAGATATAAATGCAGCATATCATATATGTACACATAAATACATTATATGTCATATGTATACATTCATATATAATATATACACAGAAACACATGTATATATGTGTGCATCTGTAGCTCTGTGTTATGTATATATTTATAATTATTAATGTTTGGGGATCCTATATTTTTAAATTTAATATAACATTAATGTATAATAATATAGTGAACATTTCATTGTGTCACTAAATATTCATTTAAAAATACAATTTTAATGGCTGCAAATGAGTTCTGTGTAAGAATATTTCTTTGGTTTATTACTATTCACCTATTAAATATCTAGGTAGTAATTTCTCACTCCTATACAAAGTGCTGTGATGAAGTTCAACCAAAGCTTTTTTTTTTTTTTTTTGAGACAGAATCTTGCTCTGTTGCCCAGGGTGGAATGCAGTGGCGCGATCTCAGCTCATTGCAATCTTTGCCTCCCAGGTTCAAGCGATTCTCCTGCCTCAGCCTACCGAGTAGCTGGGATTACAGGCGCATGCCGCCACACCCAGCTAATTTTCTTTCTTTCTTTTTTTTTTTTTGAGACCAGTCTCGCCCTGTCCGTGCAGTGGCGCAATCTCGGCTCACTGCAAGCTCCGCCTCCCGGGTTCACGCCATTCTCCTGCCTCAGCCTCCCGAGTAGCTGGGACTACGGGCGCCCGCCACCAAGCCCTGCTAATTTTTTGTATTTTAGTAGAGACGGGGTTTCACCGTGTTGCCCAAGCTGGTCCTGAACTCCCGAGCTCAGGCAATCTGCCCGCCTCGGCCTCCCAGAGTGCTGGGATTATAGGCGTGAGCCACCGCGCCCGGCCTGTACTTCACTTTTTTTGAGTCTCAATTTACATCATCTGCAGAATGGAACTAACGGAAGTAATAACTAACATTTATCGAAGGCTTATGAGAAAGCAGCAACTGCTTGGAGTACTTCACATGAATTATTTAATGCGACATCTCTGTCAAGTATATACCACTATTACTCCTATTCTATAGATGACTAAGCCGAGGTAGAGAGAGCTTCAATAAATTACCCAGATTACAATCAATAATTGGCACAGCCATGATTCAAACTTGCAGACTCTGCCCTCAGAGCCTGCCACTCCCTTTTAAAGACATTTTATCACATTTGCTTTCTCTGTTTCTCTCTCTTTCTCCTTGTCTCTCTCCACGTTTTTGTTTGTTTTTTGCTGAACCATTTAAAAGTTGTAGACATCTTGACATTTCACTCCTAAATACTTCAGAATTGTCACACAATAAAATTAACACTAATATCACCTAACCCTAACATACAGTCCAGTGTGTGTGTGTGTGTGTATGTGTGTGTACATGTCTCCCAGAAACAGAATACCTGGGATAAGGGGTGTGTGCACCACCTTTGCTAGGTAATACACATTTCTTTCCAACAAGCTTTGCCCATTTAGACACCTCCCCCCATACCAATTTGTATGAGAGTTTCTGTAGTTTTACATCCTCATCAACACTTGGTATTGTCAGACTACAAATTTTTGCTAATCTGATGGGGTGTGAAATGGTGTCTCATTGTGGCTTTAATTTGCACTTTCCTGATTATTTATGAGGTTGAACTTATGAGACTATTCTCTTTTCCCTCTTATATGAAATGCCTGTTCATTTCTTTTACCCATTAAAAAAAATGGTTTGCTTGTCTTGAAGGCTTTTCTTTTTAAGATGGAAACTGGCATGACGAATTCTTACTGTAACCTCTGGTTACTCAATGGCTTGGCATCACAAATAAATAAATGGTCCATGGAGAATGAAGCTGAAAATAGAGGAATGCTTTCCTAAAAGTGATTACTTGGAAATTTGGATTTCAAAGGTGGAAATGAAGCATACAGCTTCATGCTGAATAGCAAAATATACCAATACTTAAAAAATTTCACAAGTAGCAGAAATAGCAGCAGTGTTATATTTAAGTAAGAGAGATGAGTTGAATTCCGTGTCCTATTTCCCACCTGTCCTATTTCCAGGCGTTAAAATCTAAGTCATGAGGATGGTTGTAAGAATGAACTCCAAGTGCGTCTCCTGCCTTTGTACCTGTCCTTTAGACAGTGAGGGGACTTCAGTCATTAGAGCGGAAGGCGCTCCATTTTCACCAGTACTCAGCGCTGAAAATCAATAGTAGGATCGTTTAATAATGCTCCAAAGGCTTGAAAAGAGCCTGTTAAGAGAGGCTTAAGCCAAAATAAAGGAACTTCAGAGTGAAGTGTTCCTGTATTTGTTGTTATTTTCCTTTGACTTAAAGAGAACTATTTGTAGCCCTGTACTCCTGTGGCTAGAATAGAATTCAGCCAAGGCTGTTAATCCAGATTTTTCAGATAGGACAGAAGATAAGATATATCGCTTATTCATGTGGCGGTGTAAGGAAATTTGAAAGAAATAAAGTATGATGAATCGCTTTTCAGCATATAAATGTTAAGATTTGTACTTGAAAGTACAAATCACTTTACAGTGATTTATAGCATTTACTGTTGCTTAGCTAAGTGACTTTGGAAAATAGAACCGTTCTTACAGATGGGGTAAAATGCACTGTTTGCCACACTGTCTCTCATTAGCTGTTAAGTCTTTGATGCTGTTTCTACCATTTCAAATATAAGATCTGGAAACTGAAGAAGTTACTGTGCTTCATTGCTATTGGGTCTATCCAGGTAATAAACTCCCTTTAAAAATGACTTTACACTGTATCCTGATTGAGATGGGTATACAGTTTCATCAAAATTAACAGAATTGTATATTTAAAGTATGTACATTTTATAATATGTAAATTATACCTCAATAAAAAAAGAGTATTGGGGGAAAAAATGCCATTTCAGAATCTCCCTCTGGCTGGAATGGTTGAGATCATATAGTCTGGTTGTCCCCAAAGTACTCATGGTACCTTTCTGCAGTCCTGAAGGGTCTTATAGGACTGACCCAAGATATGTCTGGTGGTCTTGGTGTCTGGGTAAAAATCTTTGTCATCACTTTGAAAGAAGACAGAAAAGCAGAAGGTACATTTTTAGCTGCCATAAACTTAATAACAACCGGTAGCAAAATTTCCTACTGATAATTGATTTGAAAGACAAGTAATTCTATCCTCCTTTCTCTTGACTCTGGCCAAGGTAAGGAAGAGCCAATACCTGACGAAGAATTGTGGGAGAGGAAATGTAGTAGAAAGCTATCAAATTTATTCAAATTCTCTTTGCATCCACCTCTTTGCCTTAGTGAGAAATGACAGAGAACAAGTAGGTAAAAGTAGCAACGTGTAGGTAAAAGTAGTGAGTGATTTAGTTTTACTTTTGAGCTCTTCCTCTTCTTCCTCCCCTTCCTCCTCCCTCCTCCTTTGCCTCCTCCTCTGCCTCCTCCTCCTCCTCTTCAGAATACTGGCAAATGGTGGTGGGTGGAGGAACCTCCTTAGCTTGAGGCGTTTAGAATTGGCTCACGCCTTTAATCCTAGCACCTGGGAGGCTGAGGTGGGAGGATCATTGAGCCCAGGAGGTCGAGACCAGCCTGGGCAACATAGTGAGATGCCCGTCTCTACAAAACATTTTTAAAAAAATTACTGAGGTGTGGTGGCGTGCATCTGTAGTCCCAGCTACTCAGGAGGCCAAGGAGGGAGGATTTTTTGAGCCCAGGAGGTCTGTGCTGCAATGAGCCATGATCGTACTACTGCACTCTAGCCTTGGAGACAGACAGACAAAAAAAGAAAAGAAAAAAAGAATTGGAAGCATCCTGAGGTTGCTTTTACTTGTTCAACACCGTTTGCAGTTTTTTACTCCCAAATTTTCAGATCACTAAGTTTGAGAACCAGTGATCTAGTAGTGTACCCTTTTGCTTTCAGAAAGAGGTCTTTATTAAATTAGTCAAATTATTCTTATTTGTAAATATTTCAAGGACACAAGATTTTCTAAAATACATACACTAAACTCTGTCAAATATTAAAATATCCTAGAGTCACATAGTCGCCCTTCACTCTAATATCAATCTTTTTTTTTTTGAGACAAAGTCTCGCTCTGTCATCCAGGCTTGAGTGCAGTGGTGCGATCTCGGCTCACTACAACCTCCACCTCCCGGGTTCAAGCAATTCTCTGCCTCAGCCTCCCGAGTAGCTGGGATTATAGGTGCCCGCCACCACGCCCAGCTAATTTTTTGTATTTTTAGTAGAGATGGAGTTTCACTATGTTGGTCAGGCTGGTCTTGAACTCCTGACCTCATGATCCAGCCACCTCAGCCTCCCAAAGTGCTGGGGTTACAGGCGTGAGCCACCATGCCTGGCCTAGTATCAATCTTTTTTAGCAAATTAAATCCATTTTCTTTTCCAGTTAGGAGGTCAAAGCCAATACCAGTAACTGAAGACAAACCGTTTTTAAATCATCCTTCGTAGGTCTTATTTTGTACTTACTCATGCCTTATCTGTTTTTCTGTGCTTTTTAATTTGTTGAGGGGGCAGTTTTCTTGAGTTGCCTGTTTGTGTACAATTATTTGTGTTGGACTGAATGGCTCATCATTGATCTTCCTTCCTTCCTCCTCTTCCTCTTCCTCCTCCTTCTCTTTCTTCCTTTTTTTGGTTTCTCATTATTAAAAAAATGTGAAGGTACTCTGAAACCCCTTTGTACCTGTCTTCAATCTTCCTTCCCTGCAGGAGGGAGCCACTATCTTTCCCATCCATGTTTTTATATTTTTCTTTTCCTTTCCTTTTTTTTTTTTTTTTTTTGATACAGTGTCTTGCTTTGTTGCTCAGGCTGGAATGTGGTGGCACAATTTTGGCTCAGTGCAACCTCCTGGGCTCAAGAAATCCTCCTGCCTCAGCCTCCTGAGTAGCTAGGATCACAGGCATGCTCCACCGCACCCAGCTAATTTTGTTTATTTTTTGTAGAGATGAGGTCTCACTATGTTGGCCAGGCTGGTCTCAAACTCCTGGACTCAAGTGATCCTCCTGCCTCAGCCTCCCTAAGTACTGGAATTATAGGCATGAGCCACCATGCCTGGCCTGTTTTTATATTTTTCTTCATGTATCTGTCCATGAACAATATTTTGTATTGATTTATTTTTAAAAATATGTATGTATTCATATAACTTATTATGTATCACTCAACATATTTTTTAGGCTGTTAATTCAGGTTTATTTGGAATTGATTTAGATTTTGTATTTTTGGGTATTTTCCCATTCCTCTCATTCCTGCCTTATTGATATTGCCAATATCTCATTGTTATATTCTTTTATTCTTTTATTTTCCTTCTTTTCCCCTCTTTTGGTTAAGAAATTATACATTCTAATTCTATTCCTTTAATATTTATTTTAAAAAATTCTTAAAGAATGTAAAGTTAATTAGTATCTCTCTTCTCCTCCAGACTAATATAGGAAGCTTAGGAATTTTTCATTCAGATTTTCCTCTGCAGTCTTCCATGTTGTTGTTGGCTGGTACTCAGCATTATCTTATTTTTAAAGTCCTCTCAAGTTGGTTATCAGTATTTCTTATTGTTATTTGACAATATATGTACAAATTTCTTTATTCACCCTTGGATTTTGTCCTTGACTTCTTCTGTCTGGATTCTGTGGTTTTCCTTATTGAAGTAAACCCTTTAGTAGGTCATTTATTTTATTTTATTTTATTATTATTTTTGAGGTGGAGTCTCGCTCTGTTGCCCAGGCTAGAGTGCAGTGGCATGATCTCCACTCTGTTCACTGCAACCTCTGCCTCAGCCTCCTGTGTAGCTAGTATTACAGGCGAGCGCCACCATGCGCAGCTAATTTTTGTATTTTTAGTGGAGACGGGGTTTCGCCTTTTTGGCCAGGGTGGTCTCCAATGCCTGACCTCAGTTGATCTGCCCACCTCGGCCTCCCAAAGTGCTGGGATTACAGTCGCGAGCCACCGAGCCCAGCCTAGTAGCTCTTTTAGAAAGGGTTATTGTGTGGCTAACTCCCAAGATTGTTGATTTAAAATGTACTTGTTTCATTCTCAGTCCTGAATGAAGATTTAACTGGGTATGGAATGAGCGTGATCTAAGATGAGAATTATCTTCCTTTAGCCCCATGGGATCCAAAGATGCCATTCATTTCCTACAAACATCTATTGAGACTGATGACAAATTTGATGATGGTTTAATTGGATGTTTTTTTGCTTTTTGCTTTTAGGAGATTTGCTTTTGTCCTTTGTTAAGATTTTTCTTCTTATCATTGACATTCTGAAGTTTCATCATAGTGTAGCAAATTGTGACATTTTAATTTTTGATTTTTATACCTCTAGGGCCTTTGTACGCTTCTGAAATCTGAAGACTTGTTTATGTTTTTCTTTAGTTCTGAAAAATTCTCAGCTGTATTATGTAATGTACATAATTGTATGGGTTAGACTTTTATACAACTGGCAGCACAGCAGGTTTGTTTACACCAGCATCACCACACACACACACACACACACACACACGAGTAGTACATTGTGCTGCAATGTTATGACAGCTATGACTTCATTAGGCAATAGGAATATTTCAGCTCCATTATCATTATAATCTTATGAGACCACCATCATATATGCAGCTCATTGTTAACCGAAACGTCATTACTTGGCTCATGACTGTGTGTAAACTGTAATTTGAATTCTACAAAACTGGGATTAAGCTACATTGTCCCCTTGGCCAGTTCACTACAGAGCAGAATCTGGTATAAGGTAATTCATGTTTAGACCTAATCTAGAGAGATTATGTTACTAAAAGAACAAAGTAGATTCAAAATTTTGGGATGGTACCTATAAGGTAATGTTTCTGCATTTTTTCTGCATTCTGAGAAATTTATTGAAATCTATCTACTGATTTATGGATTCTTTCCTCACATTTCTCTTATCTGTTCATTACCCTGTTCATTGAGGTTTTCTTTTTCTTTTCTTTTCTTCTCTTTTTTTAAGACAGAGTCTCGCTCTGTCACCCAGGCTGGAGTTTGGTGGCGCAATCTTGGCTCATTGCAACCTCTGCCTCCTGGGTTCAAGCGATTCTCGTGCCTCAGCCTCCCGAGTAGCTGGGATTACAGGCGTGCATCAGTATGCTGGGCTAATTTTTGGATTTTTTGGTAGAGACAAAGTTTCACCAAGTTGGCCAGGCTTGCCTCGAACTCCTGACCTCAAGTGTTCTGCCCACCTCAGCCTCCCAGAGTGCTGGGATTACAAACGTGAGCCACTGCCCCTGGCCCTGTTCACTGAGTTTTTCATTTCAGTGACCATATTTTTCATGTATAGAGACTCAATTTTTTTTCAAAGTTGTTTGCTCTGTTTTTATATTATCGTTTCCTTTCGTTATAGTTTATATGCCTTTGTGTATACCTTTAGTCATGTTAGAGTTACTTCATAGTCTCTTTTAGAGTGTGCTTGCTTTTATATGCAGCTCTCTGAGGGCTGATTCTTCCATTTGCTGGGTCTGTTGACTCCACCTCATGGTAATTTATTTCTTTGTGGGCCTTGTAATTTTTGACTGTGAACTGCCCTTTATTATTTTTTTCTTTCCTAGGGGATGTGAAAGTGTTCTTGTGGAATGAGTGTACATTTTTACTGCAGGAGCTCTAGAAGTTTCTCACTTGATTTTTTTTTTGAGATGGAGTCTCGCTCTGTTGCCCAGGCTGGAGTGCAGTGGTGCGATCTTGGGTTACTGCAACCTCTGCCTCCTGGGTTCAAGCAATTCTCCCACCTCAGCCTCCCCAGTAGCTGGGATTACAGGTCCCCACCACCACGCCTGACTAATATTTGTATTTTTAATAGGGACAGGGTTTCACCATATTGGCCAGGCTGGTTTCGAACTCCTGACCTCAAGTGATCCACTTGCCTCCCAAAGTGCTGGGATTACAGGCGTGAGCCACCGTGCCTGGCCAAGTATTTCTTTACAGTAGTGCAAGAATGGCCTAATACACTTCCCATCTCCACTGCAGCCCTCATCTGGACTTATTTCAGTTGTGATTTCCTCTGGTTCATCCACCAATGGGATTCCGTCTGCCTTTGTGTCTTTCATACATTTTTCAAATTTTCTAATCGACTGTTGGCACCCTTTTGTGTTTAAGCACTCTCATGGAAGTATTATTTTTTGCGTATCATCATTTTAATGGGATTTTGGGGAGTAGGCTGAATAAATGCTTATATGCAATTTACAACCTCGAACCAGAAGCTCCCTATATGTGGTCATGCATCCTATTTGCTTAGCACTGTGCGTGGAACTAAGAAAGATACAAGAGAATACAGCACAAGATACAATCCTTAGTATCAGTGGTGTGCCACAGCCAGCTTGCACCAACTCACAAGAGCTAATTGTTAAAATATCAGGAGCTTTGAGATGATTGACTTTACTTTGATATCTTGAAATTGGCTGTGGGAGGAATGTTTATACCACTGAAATCAGCAAACACATCACTCTCCCCTCCTGGAGAGCTGGTTGTTAAACATTCATCAGCACACCACTGATCTTTACTCTTGAGCAAATGGCAGCATAGTCATAGTGTTAAGACAACGTATACTGGGCCAGGTGCAGTGGCTCACGCCTGTAATCCCAGCACTTGGGGACGCTGAGGCTGGCAGATCACTTGAGGTCAGGAGTTTGAGACCAGCCTGGCCAACATGGTAAAACCCTGTCTCTACTAAAAATACAAAAACTAGCCTGGCATGGTGGCGCATGCCTGTAATTCCAGCTACTCGGGAGGCTGAGGCAGAAGAGTCACTTGAACCCGGGAGGCAGAGGTTGCAGTGAGCCAAGATCATGCCACTGCACTCCAGCCTGGGTGACACAGCAAGCTCTGTCTCAAAAAACAAAACAAAAAACATATACTGAAGAAAAAGTAAAAGTGCAAGTAAGCTAGCCCTTGCATGCAAAGTAGAATAGAACAGATACCCCAATGGCTAAAACATTCAAGAGTTGGAGAAGTTTGGCAAGGTGGGAGCTGTGCAAATAGAGCACTTTTGCCCTTAGCAAGATAGAGGGTGGGCTCTGATGTCAGAATTGGAATTCCAGCTCTTTCACTTGCTGCTGAGTAATCTGGGAAAATGACTAAATTCCTCCAGTAAGCGTAACGACAGCCAACGTTTATTGAATCTTTATTATGGGCAGGCACTGTTCTAGGTGCTTTACATAAATTAACTTAATCTCATCATTTGCAAAATGTTGCTTACCTCACAGGTCTATTCTGAGTACTAAATGAGATAATTCATGTAAAGAGCATGCATAGCAAAACCTCCATAAAGTTAGTTTTTTACTGGCAATTTTCTTGTAGAAGGTAAAGCAATTTCAACATTAGAGTTTTCCTACTGGACCTTGAAAGATGGGTGACATTTGACTCGGTGAAGGGACTAGCAGAGGATATTTCAGACAAAGGAGAGATAGGTACCAAAGCACAGAGGGAAGGACAGAGCGGAATGTGGGGAGCTGGTTCTGATGCCAGCCCAGTGGAGGAGGAGGTAAAACGATTGAATGAATTAACGGGGCCAGATTGTGGAATGTTCTGTGGTCCTTATTTATTTATTTATTTTTATTTTTTAGAGACAGGGCCTTACTCTGTTGCCCAGGCTGGAAGGCTGGAGTGCAGTGGTGTGATCGTAATTCACTGCAGCCTTGAACTCCCAGGATCAAGCCATTCTCTCTCCTCAGCCCACTGGAACTACAGGCATGCACTACCACGCCCAGCTAATTTTTTTTTTTTTTTTTTTTTTTTTTTTTGTAGAGATGGGGTCTTGCTATGTTGCCAGGTCTTGCTATGTTGCCAGGCTGGTCTTAAACTCTTGGACTCAAGGGATGCTCCCACCTCAGCCTTCCAAAGTGCTGGGATTACAGTTGTGAGCCATTGCATGGGGCTTTGTTGTGTGTTCTAAACAGAACATTACATTTTATGTGCTGAAAATAGGGAGCCATTGTAAGTTTTCGAAAAGAGAAATGATGAAAGCAGGATTTTAGGGATAGGATTCTGGCAGGCTGGTGCTTGTGCAAAATGAATTGGAGAAGGGCAGGGGACAGAGACAGAGGCATGAGGCAGGAACAGTTTGAGGTGGCGGATGTGGGTGAGCCAGAAAAAGCCAGGTCTGGGCCAGGCGCGGTGGCTCACGCCTGTAATCCCAGCACTTTGGGAAGCCGAGGATCACTTGAGGTCAGGAGTTCAAGACCAGCCTGGCCAACATGGTGAAACCCTGTCTCTACTAAAAATACAAAATCTAGCCGGGCGTGGTGGTGCATACCTGTAGTCCCAGCTACTCAGGAGGCTGAGGCAGGAGAATAGCTTGGACCCAGGAGGTGGAGATTGCAGTGAGCCGAGATTGTGCCACTGTATTCCAGCCTGGGTGACAGAGTGAGACTCTGTCTCAAAAAGAAAAAAAAGAAAGAAAAGAAAAGAAAAAGCCATGTCTGCAAGATTGTTCAAAAGAGGGACTCATCCAACAAAGAATTCTGTAAAAAGACAAAAAGAGTCAGATTCTGTTATAAATGAATAAGCTAGAAATATGTAGCCACAATATTTGTAAGAGCAACCTGAACCAGAAATTAAGAAAAACCAGATGGGAGTATTCTTTCCCCTCCAAAAATAAAACTACTATAAATTGAAAGTAAGACTATGTACTTTTTTTTTTAATCAGTGGAAAGTTTTCTTTTTCTTACTTTCCTTGTTTTTTACATTGCGTATGGTTTCTTTTGTTTTTTTTTTTTTTTGAGACAGAGTCTCGCTCTGTCACCCAGCCTAGAGTGCAGTGGCATAATCTCGGCTCACCGCAACCTCTGACTCCCGGGTTCAAGCAATTCTCCTGCCTCAGCCTCCCCAGTATCTGGGATTACAGGCACCCCTCACCACGTCCGGCTAATTATTTGTATTTTTAGTAGAGTCGGGGTTTCACCATGTTGGCCAGGTTGGTCTCGAACTCCTGACCTCGAGTCAAAATGTTATTTCTGCTGGACTCTCTAACTTTACCTCTCACCTTTCTATCCCTCATTCTCTGTACCCTAATCATGCTATTCTCTCATGCTTTGAACATGCCACGCACCCTCTCTTTTCAGCATCCATGAACAAGCTGTTTCCTCTATCTGTTCTTTTGTCTGTCCTCCCTTCTCCCCATTTATTCTGCTATTTCTTCAAGTCTCAACTCAATCATCTCTTTATCAGAGAAATCTTTCCTGGATTCTCAGAGGCAGGTTCCTTTGTCTTACGCTTGCATAGAATGGTGGCCTTTTCCTTGTGAGTCCTTATCTGAGCTTTTAATGATCAATCCACTAGTGTGATTATGTGATAAATGTTTTCCCTGTCTCTGAGCTCCATGAGAATGGGAACCATGTCTGACTTTGCTCATCATTATATAGAGAGCATGCAGCACAATGCTTTAAACATAGTGGATCTTCAGTAAAAGTTGATTGAATGAATGAAAGAGAAGAATGTTGAAATGCCTAAAAGAACCATTGGAAGAATTGAGGCCCTTTGACTTGGAGAAGAGAATATTCATGTGGAACAGTGAAAAAGCTATGTATTTATGAAGGGCTTTCTTGGAAAATTGGGGGTAGATTTTTTTTTAATTCCTTCAGAGAGCATATTTAGGACCAAAGTTTAGAAGTTGGAGGTAATGGGGCCGGGCACGGTGACTCACGCCTGTACGCCTGCAATCCCAACACTTTGGGAGACCGAGACGGGTGGATCACCTGAGGTCAGGAGTTCAAGACAAACCTGGCCAACATGGTGAAACCCCATCTCTACTAAAAATACAAAAATTAGCTGGACGTGATGGCGGGCACCTGTAATCCCAGCTACTTGGGAGGCTGAGGCAGGAGAATCACTTGAACCCAGGAGGCGGAGGTTGCAGTGAGCCGAGACCATGCCATTGAACTCTAGCCTGTGCAACAAGAGTGAAACACTGTCTCAAAAAAAAAAAAAAAAAGAAGTTAGAGGTAATGGATCAAATTTTTGTTGACTGTAAGAATAAACTTTTCTGACAATGTGGACATCAATATTAGAAATGTTACATTCACATTTCAAATATTGATAGAAATATTCTATATCACGTGTATTTGCTGAGGCAAAGACTAGATGACCAGATGTAGACAATGTCAATGGACATTCTAGGTAGCAGCAGTAGAGGAAGGAAGGCATGATACTTGATCCCTTCAAACATCAAAGGGGTATAATTCTATTACAAAAAATAGAGATAGTAAAACAAGGAGACAAGAAAACACAAGGCATCAAATATGAGGCACTATAACTGTCTATAGAGTGGCCCAGCCACTAGGCGCCATACTGATGATGCTCCTCTCTTGGCTAGTGATTTTAAAACTTCTTACAAAAAGAATCATTAAATAGGTTATCTCCTAATCTATGCCTTCATCTATTAATGTAATTGTGAAAACTGAATATAGATATATCTCTTTTAGAGGGTTATGGGAGTAGGCAAAGTAGTTTATAAATATGAACAGCCTCAGAAACTAAGACCTCCAACACTATAGCATGTTATGTTAAACAGTGCTTAAGTAATGGTCAACATTTACATACACTACATGAAAACATAAATATTAGAGCCACTGTCTAATGCCACAGCATACATATATATTTCTCAAAAAAACTTTCCCTTTTTGCACTTTTATAAAAATAACGTGTGATTTCCTTTACGTGGTGAAAATGTAAAAATAATATGGATGAAGTGATTATATAATACCATAATATACTCAATAGTTGTAATCAACATTATAATAAGTATAAGACTATTTTTCACACTACCAGTTCAGGAGGAGAGTCACACTACATTGGAATAGCTAAAGGAGTTTTCTTGAAGGAGGGATGCTCCGATGAGTCCCTAGACAATGGGGTAGATTTTAATAGATGGATGGAGAGGAAGAAATGCTGTGAATAGGGCTATCTCATGTTCTAGATCTTCTGGGATAGTTTTGATTTCAAATATAATCCAGGTTATACAAGTATGGTCATAATTGTTAGAGTGGGTGCCTCTCTTCCGAGTTTGAAATATGGTCAGTAAGAACATTAACAAGTGCCTGGAAGCAGGAAGAAGATGGCCAAGCAACGAATCACGCAGAGCAGTGAGTATGTGCCTTCTCCCACCCCCCAGTCTCCCGCCATCCCTCCCTGTTATATTGTCCTTTCTTCCAATAATAAACCAATGTAACATCCTCCTGTCCCAGCGGTAGAAACATTTACAATTGCTGGAAATGTGATAGAATCAGAAATGTGCAACCAGTCTATGCAATCAGCTGCACAGATTGTGAAACAACAGTCGTGGTTCTGTTTGTTCCGAGACAGGATAAAAACTGCAAATCTTTTATAAGACAGAAACTGAAGCCTAAGAGAAGCCCCAGCAGCATTCCCTGTGCTGTGGTACCATTTGGCTTTTTGTAATCCCTCCCTCCTTCTCCCTCCTTGAGTCCCATTTTTTTTCAGCCAGTGTCTGCCCAGGGACACAGGGCACAGGTTTTGGAGGGGAGAGAAGTTTGGTGAGATTTGGCACACAAACACTGTAGGTGTCTTGTTTTTCTTTTTCTTTCTCATTGTTTTTTTTTTGAAACAGGATCTCTCTCTCTGTTGCCCAGTCTGGAGTGCAGTGGTGTGGTCATAGTTCACTGCAGCCTCTATCTCCTGGGATCAAGCAGTCCTCCCGCCTCAGCCTCCCAAGTAGCTGGGACTACAGGTGTGTGCTACCATAGCTGGCTAATTTTTAAAAATTACTTTTAGGCCAGGCACGGTGTCTCATGCCTGTAATCCCAGCACTTTGGGAGGCCGAGCTGGGAAGATCACTTGAGGTCAGGAGTGCGAGACCAGCCTGACCAACATGGTGAAACCCCATCTCTACTAAAAATACAAAATTAGCCGGGCATGGTGACGCATGCCTGTAATCCCAGTTGATTGGGAGGCTGAGGCAGAAGAATCACTTGAATCCAGGAGGTGGAGGTTGCAGTGAGCTGAGATCGTGCCATTGCACTCCAGCCTGGGCAATAAGAGTGAAACTCCGTCTCAAAAAAAAAAAAAATTACTTTTAGTAGAGTATTTGCTATGTTCCCCAGAAGATTGGTCTCCAACTTTTGGTTTCACATGATCCTCCTGCTTCGGCCTCCCAAAGTGCTGGGATTACAGGCATGAGCCACTGTGCCTGGTGGTCTTGTTTTTCTTTGCTGTTATAGTAGCAGGGCATAGAAATACCACAGAAAGAGGGAGGGTGGGACTCCCATAGAGCAGGAGAAACTGAAAGCAAATAGGGATTTCAATTTTTTGTTTCTCCAGATGAAGAATAAAATGCTTATGAACAAAGAAAAAGGTGCCTATAGAATACATAATAAATATGACATATTTAATAATATTAGCCCATTCAGATCATTCAGAGGAAGGATATGCTTAGAATGAGAAGGTTATTTCATTTTTAACTTTTCTTGGGTATCAGGTCCAAATTTCATAGTAATATCTGAAAAAATATCTGTACTTTTTATAAAACAGGAAAGTTTATGTGGAGCTACCTAAATGTTTGAATAGTAACGTAAGATTCATTGTGTTCATGTTGCTTTGCTTTTGTTGACTCCTACTTAAATTCGCATCATTCTACTATTTTGACCTAAGCAGTCTTGCTTCGATTAAGAAAATTCAGTGTCTGGCATCTACATGGTAAAATCACAGCAAGAAATTGGAACTCTAGAGATTGGAACTGTAGCCACGACAGGGGGTGCCAACTCCTGTGGTCCCCCGACACCACAGAATACCATGAGTGGAACTTTATCCACAAACATATATTTCCCTCCCAGTGTTAGGATGTTTCATCTCCCTCAGGCCTCCCTTTTAGAATTTCCTAGATTCCTGAAGTCCTCCTAAGTCTGCAATATTATCACTACATATATATCAAATTAAAATAAAGATCTGTGTAAAAGATAAAAGTAGCTTTTCTCTCTCTCTCTTCTGTTGCTGCTGTTTCTTTTCAGTTGATTCAGCTGTCAACTTCAGTCAGGCGCAGCTCTGAACACGTGGTCATATAATTCATTAGCAGTTAGAAAGGGGCTCCACTCAGCCCTGAAGACATTCATGCGAACAGCTTTTGGAAAAATGTTTAATAAACGTCTTCTAGCATTGGTCTGTGCTCTTAGAAAGACCAACCTGTAGGAAACTAATACATACAGCTAATGTCTTAATAGATAAATACACTTATTAGGCATATTTAATTTTATGTTTGACTTAGTACCCCCAAAAATGCTGTTTAAGTTGGTAAGAAAGTCAGATTCACCAAAGCAGAAGGGAAATGGGATGCATTTGGTCCCAGTAGTACTGGCTTTGGGTGAGTGATTTTGTATTGCTTTTGGATGAATTGTGGAAGTTAGTCGTTCTCCCAGTCACCTCTCTAATTTGATCATGAAGTCAAATGATATGAAGAAAGCGTTATAGAGATTGGACTAGTTCAAACAGTGAACACAGTCAATATAACTGGTGGAAATGATATTTTAGTGTAAACTCATGTGGCAAAGCTTGGCCTAAACGGAGAACATTTGTTGTTTCTATTTAGAAACATCAGACTCAACAGTCTAGACAATACATTTTGATTTATTACTCACCTTTTTACTACCTTTTTCACTTAGTTAATCAAAGTATATATTCAAAAACATTTGAGTGCCTGTATTGTGCCAGACAATATTTATGGTTACTCAGTCTTCTTATTTTCTTTCTTTCTTTTTTCTTTTTTTTTTGAGATGGGCTGGAGTGCCATAGTGATGCGATCTGGGCTCACTGCAACCTCTGCCTCCCAGGTTCAAGCGATTCTCCCGCCTCAGCCTCCGGAGTAGCTGGGATTACAGGCATGCGCCACCACACCCGGCTGATTTCTTTGTATTTTTAGTAGAGGCAGCATTTCGCCATATTGGCTAGGCTGGTCTCACTCCTGACCTCAAGTGATCCGCTCGCCTCGGCCTCCCAAAGTGTTGGGATTACAGGCATGAGCCACTGTGCCCAGCCAATCTTCTCATTTTCTAACTCATCTGTTTCTCATTCTCTTCTTCCTCCTCCTCTTCCTTTTTCTTCTTTCTTTAAAGCCTCAAGTTTTCCTCCTCAGATTTGTCTTGATTTTTAAAGTTTTCCTTTCATCTCTTGGATGTGGAATTTTCCCATAAAAATCTATTGTTCCCTTGTTTCATCCCTTTTGGAAAGGAATATCCTTCAACTGGAAAAGTGAAACATATCCACCAATTTTAAACGTTAAAAATAACTGTGCAAATATATAACTATGTTTTATCTTCAATTATTATGAAATTATTAACTCGGTCATTGATTTGTTTATTTGGCATGAGACCATGCTGTTCAGGGAATTCCTGCCCATTTCGAGAACCATCTTTCTTGCATTTCTTACTTAATGGGACTAAGCAACTTAGCTACAACTGAAATAATTTTAGCAAATATGAAATTCTACAAAAAAGCATGGCCAACAGAAAGCCTTCATTCACTGTGTTTATGTTGGTACTGATCTTCACGGCATGCTGTTAACTCAACATGAAGCTATGCTTTTTAAAACAATTCAAGTTCAAGGCCATCCCATTTATAACCAGTCATGTTCCAGGCCTATAAAGCATTTGCAATAACAATCCAAACTGGCATATAAGTTAAAGCTCACCCTAGGCAGCTTAAATTTACACGATTAGCCTGGGACTTGCTCATCCTGTAGCATCGGGAAGCCCGACCTCATGATCAAGTGCAATTCACATCTCACAATTCTAGCAATCGATGTACATGGATACACCATTATATTATTATTAAATCCAATTGCTTTGCAATTAACCCAATATGACACCCATACAAATGATTCAAATAAAGAGCCTCACATTTCACAGGGGACAATCAATACAGTGAAATCACAGCTACTGACAATGCCAGCAATTTGGCTTGTTACTTTAGTGCTACATTTTTCTCAGGTTGACACTTCTATTCCCGCTTCTGAATTACAGCTACCATAACTTTCAACTATTGGCAATGCCCACGCCTCACAAAAGCAGAATATTCAACCATGCTTGGCCATTCCTAACCTGTTAGCTGAGTCATGAAAAGTTACACCCAGCCTAAGACGTGCTAAATCATAATTTTTAAAAATTTTCTTTCTTTCCTCCCAAAATGAAATTTGGACTTCTTTTTCTCCAGGAAAAGCTCCTTAATGATGGAAAAGAAAATTATGAGACTTATCAATAGATTAAATAAGTTCTTAGGAAAAATGATTCTTGCCCCTCCCCTTGCATAAAACTCTTACAAGGAGATGCTTGAAAGCAAAACCAATCACAACAGTATCTTTCCCAATTACTATTATTGTTCTTCTGTAGCTTTATCATCTCTATTTTAATTAAGTGAAAGCACTTTACAGTTATAGCCTGATCAAAAGCAACCTTTTAAAAACATTACAACCTTCATTTTATGTCACCCTCTTTTGGCAGATTTTGCCAGTGTATGTGTTTGTCAGACAAGGTGGCTTTTAGCAGCATTTCCCTTCAGCCATTTCTACAGAGTTGGGTGCTGACATTCAATAGATATTTATTGACAGACTATTTGAGCGCTACTTTGTTAAGACCCCATAACTCCTTATTTCAAGTTGACTGAACTTGACCTTATGGAGCATTTAAGACAGGCACTGACCAAAAAATGTATCTTTTCTGTGTCTCTTTCTATATTGTTTCCAAACAGAGACTGGTTGAGTCAGATATGTTTCTATGAGGCCATTTCCATCTACTAAATGGGGGGAATAGAACATTAAGTATGCAGTAAAATGCCTCTGTTTTTTAACATACAGTGTAGACGATTGAAAATAATGACTTACTTAATACGCTAATAGAGTCTCCGTGAATCATACTGTATACATAACGGTGATGAAAATGTTCAGGTTTGAAATTTCTCCCTTGCCAGAGAGGAAACCATGGGGGTGAGTCATGGTTTTAGTGATGACTGGCCTGGGGAAGTGAAATTGGAAAGCCACAGGTTAAAAAAGGAGTGAGGAGTGATTCCTTAACAGGAGTGCCATAGTCATAAACTCCAAGAAGGCAAGAGACAGTTCCTTATGCTGCTCACACCTAGGCAGGAACCTGCAGAAGAAGAGCTCCTGGCGGTTCACCTGCAGGAGAGAAATCCTGAAAGCCCAGGAAACCAAACAACATTTAAAGTCACCTATGGATTGGGAAAAGAAACAGGACTTCTTGCTGGGGGAAGAGCGATAAATGACTGCCTGTAAAGGGGAACACAACTGAATGCAGTCACTCAAGTGAACGAAATTCATTTAAGAGCAATTGGATTAGAGATGGAGATTTACATGGATGACTTTAAAGAAGAGAAGTGTGCAAGAGACAGGAAAGATGCACATCAGTCATTTGCTACAAAACTGTAAACAGCATTGTTAAGTGGGAAAATGGGCCACTAAATTGTAATTAAACTATGACGATAATGTTGTAAAATGTGTGCTATGGGCAAAGACTGATTGGGATTACATAGAAATTAACCTAGTTACTGTGCTCTTGGTAAAGTATTGATGTTATTTGTTTTCCATTGTTAAATTTTGTGGTGTGAACATGAGGGTGGGGGTGGGGAGAGACTATATATAGAGAGTTTAGTGTTAAGACCATGGCACGAGGAACCAGGAAGCCGTCTTTAAGTTTCACACGGCCACGCCAGCTGCGATTGTAACCTCTCTTGAGTCTCAGTGTCCATATATAGAAAGTGAGAATAAGAACACCTGCCCTGCACTAATGGGGTAGTGAAAGCACTTTGTAAATTTGAAAGTATTGTAGGAGATTTTTTTAAGGAATGAAGGTCTGGGTGCTATCTAGATGAGAGACTTAGGAAGTCCAGACCTCAAAAAGTTACACTGACTCTCTTTTCTTAGCAGTCACTGCGGAAGCTGGAGAACATGTGTTATCTCATTTAATTTTACAGTAAAACAAATTACAAACACTTATTGGGCATCTACTAATTGTTTCACTAACCAGGTTTTCCAATACCATTTATAGAACAATCTTCTTGTCCTCCATTGATCTGAAATGCTCCTTTTATCACACACCTGAGTTTATATTTGAACTGCTGTTTTACTGCTCACCGTTCTGTTTTAATTGTTGTAGATTGGTGACTTTTTTAATCTGGTAGGGTAACTTTTTATAGCTGTTGTTTTTTAAAAATAGGATCCAGGGCAGAGAGGGAGCTATTAAGGAAGATAACCAAGCTTGGACTCAAGGGAGTAACTAACCAGCCCAAAGGCACGTTGCAGTGTAGCAGATTCTTAGAAGACATTCTGGAATCAGAGGAAGCTTACTTCAAATCCTGGTGTATGATTTATCATCCACATGACCCAACGTATATCACTTAATTTCTTTAATCTCTTTCCTCATCTGCAAATTGAAGACAATATCAGCTACCTTGAAGTGTCCTGATGTGGATTAAAGTACAAAATGGATGTCAGTTTCTCTAGGACCATGCCTGGCACCCAGCTGTCACATCCTTCCCTTCCTTTGAAAGCGTTCCTACTGGTAGGGACATGGCTTCCCTTTCTTAGGTTTTCTTACATCTGCAAAAAAGGAAGAAGAACAAAGAATGCTCACAGCATTCTGCAGGCTTGTTTCACTGAACGGAGATAGATACATGGTAACTGTCTAGGGGATTTCAGCTGTGCATGTGTATTCTCTCCTCCCTGAACATGGCAGAGCAGAAGATACTGCATGCCATAGAATTCATGAAGGGCTCTGTCATTATCCAGCCATGAACATGGGATGTCAAACCAGGTAGGAGTGCTTGGCGGTACATTCCCCTTGAGGGGAAGTGAAAGGGGAAATTGCCCTGGGCCGTGAGAACTGGCTAGGGAACAGGTGCAGAGTGATGGGGCCTCTCTTCTCTGCCAAGTTTGGACTTTAAGTGATTTTGGGGGCAGAACTCACATTGATGACCTCCCTTTTTGTAGTTTCTTAGAGATTATTGAGTAATATTTAAAAATATTTGATGATTAGAGTGAAGACACGTCACATTGGGCCCCAGAGCAATCTTCCACCTCCAGGAGTGGCCAGGATGACTTTGGAGGGACACCTCTGTCATCTTTTCTCCCTAAGTGATGGATGGATAGAGTCTGATCATAATTAATTTTAATAGAGACCTGATGTGCTGTGAGAGAATCTTGGCCATTCAAATGAAATAGAACTGATAGCCAGCCACGAAAAAAATAATCTCAGTTCTATCTCACCATTGGCTTTAGAACATATTAAGTCTAGTTAAGAAGTATTTATGGAGGGCTTCTGTGCCTGGTGCTATAGAAAGGGATACAAAAAAAGGACCTTGTCTGACATTCTCTGTCTGAATTGGACAGACAAGAAATATAATAAAATAATAATGTACTATCTGTGAGGCCCTGACATATGGTATACACTGAGTTATATGCTCAGTGTGCATTAGCTCTAATTCATTAATTCTTTCCACAAATGTTTCTGGAGTGCCTAGTATGTGCCAGGGATTCTAGTTGCTGGGAGAACCATAGGGCAGAAGGCAGAGCAAGTCCCTGCCTTTGGGAAACATTCTAGTACTTATAAGCAAATGAGTATGCACGATCATTTCAGGGAATGATCAATGCTATAAAGAGCCAGGGGCAGTGGCTCATGCCTGTAATCCCCGCACTTTGGGAGACCGAGGTGGGCGGATCACGAGGTCGGGAAATTGAGACCATCCTGGCCAACGTGGTGAAACCTGGTCTCCACTAAAAAAAAAAATAAAAATAAAAAATAAAAAAAAAATTAGCCAAGCGTGGTGGCGTGTGCCTGTAATCCCAGCTACTCGGGAGGTTGAGGCACGAGAATAGCTTGAACCTGGGAGGTGGTTCAAGTGAGCCGAGATCGCACCACTGCACTCCAGCCTGGTGACAGAGCGAGACTCCGTCTCAAAAGAAAAAAAAAAAAAAAAAAGAAAAAGAAAAAGACAAAAGAAAAGAAAAAGAAAAAGAAGTAGGGTACAGGGATAGAGGGGCATTGGGGCCCAGCTAGGGGATATTTTAGACAGGCCTCTCTGACGGGGTGGGCTGGAAGAATGAAGTGAACCCCAGAGGCCGAGGGTCCAGGCAGAGAGAACAGCAAGTATAGAGGCGCTGTGGGGATTCCTGAGACCAGGGCGGCTGGAATGGGGTGAGGCAGGAGGAGGGGCAGGAGAAGAAACAGGACAGACAGTAAGTGACTCTGCTGTGTCAGGTCTTGCAGGAAATGACAATCATTGCAGGTTTCATTCTGAGGCCAACGGGCAGCTCTTGGAACATTTTGAAGCAGGAGAGGGTTACCTGGAAACAGACTCTGAGCTGGCAATGCACAGGCAGAAGCCCTGTTCTCCCACCAGCAGAAGAACAAGAGAGAAGCAGGGCTGGGAAGAGGGAGAACGTGGGGTATCTCAACACAGACCCCCAACTGATCCCGCCAAAGCTGTGGGGTTGGGAGGACCCTTCAGAGTTTCCTCCAGTTGAGGCAAGAGGGCTGGACCTTATAAACCAGCATCAACCAGTTGCTGTCTCCCAAGAGGGGTTATAGACTTGGGCTAGGCAGCTCCCTGTGGGAGCGGATGCCTGGAGAGCGACACAGCTGTAGGCCGCCAGCAGTCAACACCCCCAGCAGCTAGGGCAGTGGCACCTGAGTCCTGAAGGGTGGCTCTCCACAGAATCCGCTACAGATCTGTTTATGTTTTCATTCTTATAAAAATCCTCTAAGTTAGGTGTTTTTATTCCCATTAGACAGGAGGAAACTGAGGCTCATGGAGTTTAGGCAACCTGTTCAAGGTCATACCTAGGAGATGTTGGATTTGAGACTAGATCTCTCCAAATGCAAAGACCATATCCTTTAAAAAATTGTGATAAAATATACATAAGTGAAATTTACCCTCTTAACCATATTTCAGTATAAAGTTGGTAGCATTAAGTACATTCACATTGTTGTGCAACCACCCCACTATCCTCCAGAACATTTTGTTTTTAAATATATGGAGTCTTGCCATGTTGTCCAGGCTAGCCTCGAACTCCTGAGATCAAGTCATCCTCCTGCCTCAGCCTCCTGAGTAGTGAGGATTACTGGAGTGCACCACCACACGCAACTAATTTTTATTTTTTGTGTAGACAGGGTCTGACTATGTTGCCCAGACTGGTCTCAGACTCTTGGGCTCAAGCAATCCTCCTGCCTCAGCCTCTTGAGTGGGTGGGACTACAGATGCATGCTACCTCACTTGGTTTCATCTCCAAAACTTTTTCATCTTGCATAACTGAAACTCTGAATCTGTAAAATAATAACTTCTCATTCTCCTCCCATCTCCCTAGTCCCTGGTAACCAGCACTCTACTTTCTGTCTTTATGAGTTTGACTATTCTAGATATAAGTGACATCCCACAGTATTTGTCCTTCTGTGGCTGGCTTATTTCACTTAGCATATTGCCTTCAAGGCTCATCCATATTGTAGCATGTATGCGAATTTCATTCCTCTTTAAGGCTGAATCATATTCCATTGTATGGATATTCCACCATTTATCTGTTTATTCATCTGCCATGGGCATATGGGTTGTTTCCCCCTTTTGGCTATTGTGAATAATGTTGCTATCAACATGGGTGTACAAATATCTCTTCATGGCCCTGCTTTCAATTATTTGGGGTATATATACCCAGAAGTGGGATTGCTGGATCCTATGGTAGTGCTACTTTCAGTTTTTTGAGGAATCATCATAGTGCTTTCCCCGGTGGGTACACTGTTTTCCATTTCCACCAGTATTGCACCAGGGACTGGAACCAGGGTTCCAGTTTTCCACATTTGTGCCAACACTTATTTTCTTCTCTCTCTCTCTAATAATAGCCATCCCAATGGGTGTGAAGTAGTATCTCACTGTGGTTTTGAGACCATGTACTTTTCATTGCCACCATGCTCCCTCTCTGAAGGGAATCAAAGATTTCAAGCTTGCATCCAATCCCATCATTCCACTTGTGGGTGAAAATGGTGACAATGCTTAGTCAAGACAAAAGCTCACTGAGCGAGGTGGCTCACGCCTGTATTCCCAGCACTTTGGGAGACTGAGGCGGGCAGATCGCCTGAGCTCAGGAGTTCAAGACCACCCTAGGCAACATGGTGAAACCCTGTCTCTACTAAAATACAAAAAATGAGCTGGGCGTGGTGCCACGCGCCTGTAGTCCCAGCTACATGAGGCACAAGAATCGCTTGAGCCCTGGAGGTGGAGGTTGCTGTGAGCCAAGATCATGCCACTGCACTCCAGCTTGGGCTACAGAGTGAGACTCTGTCTCAAAAAAAAAAAAAAAAAAAAAAGACAAAACTCAGTTAATCTCCCTGGATTAACATACCCCGAGGCACTCAGACAACTAAAGAACAATACAAAATTTGTCACTGTATGCTGAATTAGTCTTTAAAGTTTTTGCTCAAGAACCCTAAAATAGTTTAGAAAACAATGCTCTTCTTTGCATATTTTTAAATCGATACCTATAATTTTATCATACATTTGAATAGTTATAAACATGTGAATTCTAGCATATTGTAAATGTTGACATTTTAAAAGAAAACTGTGACATCACTCTTTTAAATGCATCTCAATGGAATTCACATCCCATCACAGTTTGTTACCCACCATCATCCATTTAAGAAATACACATGCCAGTTCATCTTCAGCAAGCAAAAATTGTATTCCATTTTCTCTTTGAAATTTTATTTCCATTCTACTTCCCCTTCAGAATTTTATGCTAATGTAATATAATGATAGAAAGTCTTTTACTGAATATCTCGTTGTACTTTTATCTATCAAACATATGTATACAAACTAAAATTTATACACTTTGAAATTCTTGTGACCATAGGCTCTAAGAGTTCTCTGAATTGAGTTCTCATTGCAATGACTAGTGTTACACAACTGATCCAAACAACCTAAATGAATATCAAATTTTATAAATGCTAACATGAAAAGTAAAGTTTTATTGGAAGTTTGCATTTCTTTTCTTGTTTTTTTTTTTTTTGAGACAGAGTCTCACTCTTGTTGCCCAGGCTGGAGTGCAATGGCGCCATATCGGCTCACTGCAACCTCCGCCTCCCGGGTTCAAGCGATTCTCCTGCCTCAGCCTCCCGACTTGCTACTCATTGCTAGATTGCTAGGATGACAGTGTGTGGCATTAATGCTATTTCTATTTCTATTTCTCATTTCTTAGAGATGAGAAATCCTTGTTCTTATAAATAAGGAGAGGGGAATGGAAAAAGTTTTGTTGTAAAAATGTCTTTCAAGTTTTGTCTTTTGGGGCAAATAAGTCAAAAATTGTCTTTCAATTTTTGTCTTTTGGGGCAAATAATCTTTTCTGACTTATTTGCCCCAAATCACATGGTAATGTATGATCAGAGATGATTTTCTAATGATCTGTCAGCTGACAACTCTACTAGATCCTCCTTCAGTTTTGTTGAAATCAAAATATTGGAAACTGTATGGTTTGCAAAGCCTTTGTTACCTAGTCTGTGAAGGACTGAACTTTGTTCCTACGTATGCATATGTTGATGTCCTAACCCCTAGTACCTCAGAATGGGCCTGTATTTGGAAATAGGGTCATCGTAGATATAATTGGTTAAGATGGGGTGATTAGGGTAGGCCCTAATCCACTATGACTGGTGTTCTTATAAAAAGAGGAAATTTGAACATAGGGACAGACACATCTAGAGGGAAGATGATGTGCAGAGACACAGGAGGAAGATGGCCATCTACCAGCCAAGGAGAGAGGCCTGGTACAGCGTCTTCCTCAGGGGCCTCATAAGGAACCAACTCTGCCAACACCTTGATTTTGGACTTCTGGCCTCAGAACTGCGAGACCATAGGTTTCTGTTGTTTAAGCCCTGCCGCTTGTGGTCCTTTGTTAAGGTAAACTTAGAGCCACTCACTCCCTTATACCTACACCAATATTTTCCATTTTTCTTTTATTTGGTGTCCAGGAGGGTTTTTTAAACCCCAGAGCAAGGCATCCCAGAAAGACTGGAAATGCAGGAGAGGGACGCTTCTCTTTTGTAAGTGGAATAGAAGCCACTGTGAAAGGGAAATGGGTGTTTAATAAAAAGCAGATATTGAATTTGAAGATCTGCATGTTGCTTTCCTTCAAAATATCCTTGTCTGTGGGCCCCTTTGGAAAGTCTCAGGCCCAGAGGACTAGGTGTGGTGCCTTGTTTGAAGACAGCTGTGCTGAGCCATAAAATACCTACTGAAATTCAGGGGTATGGAAAGCCTTTGTCCATGGAGGTGTCAATGACATTTTCATGGAGGCTATAACATCTAACTGGCCTTGTGTGTAGAATTTTGATTTGTGGCAGAGAGAAGGAAGGACATTCCAGCCAGGGTGGAAGCAACTTGGAAATGCACTTTTGACTAAAGTAGGAATTGGTAGGGTGGGACCAGTCTTCAGGGGTCCATCAACGATGGGCCTAGGAGCTTGTACTTAGGCACTAGAAAGCGTTTCATGAGCACTGCCACGATGAGAATGGTGCTTAGGAAGATGAGTCGGGCTGCAATGTAGAGGATGGGTGGGTGTGTGCAGAGCTGGGGCAGGAGCAATCCAGGGGTGTGGCTCTCCAAGCATGGATCCGTGCAATGGATCTAGAAAGGGGGAGGCAGCTGTGTGTTGGTTGTGACAGAAACACAAGTCGAATGCCCATGTCATAGTCAAATTATGTGCCCACTGCTTAATGATCTTCATTTGAGAGGGGCTGCCAAGTCCCTGAACTAACTCCCTGTCTTTCCTCTGCTTTTCCGCTGTCTTCTGTAGTGGTGGAGGGCTTAAAAGTCTAGAAAGACTAACGATTTCCAGCGAGTCAAGTAGAGGCACAGTGGGGCAAAACTTCTCTGTTATGTGACTGATCCTTTCATTGTCAGGATGAAATGAGTCAATGCGTGTGAAGACACTTGGTTAACTAGAAAGTGCCCTGAAATGTAAAGCTATGGTTCCTCATTACTCACTGTTGCATGCTACTCTTTCTCAGAGGTAGTGGAGAGGTTTTCTCAGTGCTTCACTTCACATGAGGCTTTAGTAACTGAAATCCAGGTAACAGAGACTCCATTGTGCATTGCCTGAGAATTTCCTTGGGCTTATATCCCTCTCCAAATTGGGAAGGTGTGACAATACCCCCTGCTGAGCCCCACTGGGGAGAGGAGCCATGCATTGCACTCCTGGATTCTCTGAGGTGTCTGTCCTCATGCCCAAGCACCCTCAGAGGACTGTTCATTTGCCGTCAGAATTGCAAGCCTTCCTGATTAGGTAGTAATGGATACAAAGCTTTCCTATGCCCTGAAAACCAGATTTTTTTTTAAATGGCCACATGCTCTCCACTCCCCAAGCAGGGGAGTCCACAGAGCATCAGAACAACCTGCCACACAACTGTCATTCACACACACACACACACACACACACACACACACACACATTCAATACCACTTGCATTTTTATGACCCAGAGAGGATAAGAAAACTGGTTTATTCTAGAAGAAACTGGTGGTCACCATCCTTATAGCCATCTCTCTAAATCTTATTCATGTTCTCTGTGTGACCCTGAGGGTCACTGGAACCTTCTGGTGTTCTTAGTTCTCCAGAGGATTCCCTTGGCCATCGTGGTAGAGACCTGTCCTACTGGTCATGTGGCTGCTGACTCTAGCTGCTAGGACATGAACATTTGGAATTTCTTCCAAGGATGAAAAGGACATGGTAAATAATGTCTGAATGAGTTTTCTTACCTACATTGCCACTGCCATCTCTTATTCAAAGGAATATCTCCATTCATATGGCTGCCATAAAGCAAATCCAATGGTAGGAAGACAAGATGGAAGCATCAGATGATCCCCTCGGCATTGACACCTGCTCCCATTTAAGAGATGGGGAGAGAAGCCAGCGTGTTAAATGGTAACAGTTCCTGTCATTCCATGTATACTTAACAGGTGCCAGGATGTGCCAAGCACTTTGGATATGGAGCTCATTTTGCCCTCCAACCCTATGGAGTAGGAATGCTAACACCTAGATTTTCAGGGGAATAGATGGCAAACTGGAGCAGGTAGGTCACTTTCTCAAGGTCACGAAACTAGTAAGTAGCTGTGTCAGTCAGGGTGACTTAAACTGAGCTTTGATAACAAAGAGCTCCCAAATCTTAGTGGCTTACAATATCAAAGATTTATTCCTCCCTCCTGCTAAATGTCTACCAAGGTCTCTGGAGGCTTCTTCCTCAATCTAGGACCTCGGCAGACACTACCAGGACACTGCTGGTTGTCATGCAAGTGGAAAAGGAGAAGACCGCAAAGTGCTCAATGCTGGCACATGTTACTTCTGTTTATTTTGTTGGCCAGAGGCTGTCACATGGTACCTGTAACTTCAGAGGGCCAAGGAAGTACACTCTTATTATCTCAAAGGGAGAGGAGGAATTTTTGCAGACAGCTCTAATGACCACCACAGTGGTAAAGGAAGGATCCCAGAAGAAAGGCATTTTCTAAAGCCTATGCTCTTTGCTCCTATGAGAGCTTCCACTCACGGAGCCCTGGGCGCCTCGTGGGGTCTGAGCACTAAGCGTTTTACAGATATCATTTCTGGTCTTCATAGCCACTTGTTAGGTAGATGCTAATATTCCCTTCATTTCGAGATCAGGTTGCTGAGGCCCAGACAGGTCTTGAAGTAGCTTGAGCCAGATGGTACAGAGAGTACCAAATAGCACGTGTGCAGGCCTCTGATTAGTATGACTCGGGAGGCTCTCTTCTTTCCTTCTTTGCCTTGAGGATTTCCAATGCCACAGACATCATTTCAGTTTCACAACAGAAAACTCACATACATTTTCACAAGATTAAAACTTTGCTTAATCTTGTGTTCATTTATTGTTTTATTAATTGCTCATTGTAAAAATTCAGGTAATACAGGCATGAAGGAGAAAGCGAAAAATCACTAACAATCAAAACATCAAGAGAGAGCCGCTGCTAACATTTTAAGTATGTCCCTCCAGATCTGCTCATCTGTAACTTGTTTCTTCACATAACAATAGGTTGTGAACATCCTTCCAATAAATACACTGCAGTTTTAATGACTGCATAATACTCTATTGAGTGACTGTGCTACAATTTAAAATTCCTTGATGATCCACATTTATCTTCTGTTTAATCTCTCCCTCTTCTCTTGTTAATTCTGAGTTCCAGCTCTTTCTTAACAGTGATGTCTAAAATCTCCTGTGTCTTATGATACAGGATAAGACACAGGTCTCTTATGATAAGAGACCTTATGCTTTCGCATTGTTATGGTCAAAGATCTTTAATCAAAACACTAGTTCCTCTTTGTTACCTCTTTTCTTTCTCCCTCTTTCATAAAGAGCCCCCACAAATGGTATTAAATGTTTTGTTCTGGGAGTTTCAGGCCAGGGATTTTCCTTGACATTTCTTTTTTGTTTCATGTACTTTTTCTGAAATTCCCCAATAAACTGTCCTGTTTTTCTTTTTACTTTTGTTTTTGTATATCCACATTGCTTATTTTATTATATATTTGCATGCCCATATTCCAGAACCACTGAACAGCATGTTTTGTGCTTTTCCTGGCTGTTACCTGTGTGGCAAGGTATTCAGTGGCTTCCTGGCTTCCTTTTCTATGCCCCCTGAGTAACCCCCTATGCAGATTCATCACTTTCCTACTCATTGTAGGTTCCCTGCTTTGCTCATGTTGTTCCCTCAACCTGGAGTGGCCTTTACTGTCATCTAGAGTTGGTCTTCAGAATCCAGCTCAAATGCCTGGCCTTTCACAAAGCACCGTCTGACCCTTTAACTGTTCTTTCCTCTGTGCTTGGTAGCATTTTACTATCACCTCCAATATATACTCAGGAGTCATCTACTGAGCACCTATGGTGTACCCTGGAGGGCTGGGGCAGAACAGACAACAATCAGCCTTGGTATCCACCCTCTAGGAGTCCGGGGAAATAGGAAAACAGAACTGGAACCCAGTGTAGTCCAGGCTGAAATGGAGGTCAGCAGAGACGCCAAGATAATGACAGGGCCACGCCAGCGCTCGCTGGCTTTTCTTTAACGCACGTTTTCCCTTAGTAAAAATCAAGATCCTGAGGGAGAAGTGATCCTTTTTAATTCGCCTTTTCGGGACTTTGTGGCAGCGCTTAACGCGCCTTATGCTTAATGGCACACGTCGGGGGGCTCCCGGGAGATGACGGGTGGGCGGACCCCAGGCGCAGGTCCAGTCCCATTACCCACATTTCCCGGAGCCCAGTCTACTTTTCACATCTTTCATTCCCCCTGAAATAGATGCACATTCGCCTCCAGATTTAGAATAGGAGCAATGAGTATTTCACGAAAGCCTGGAAAATATGACTTTTCCAGAAATGGCTTAAGTCGGTCATAGATCTTCAGGCTCCTGGCAACTGCGGGACGGGGGTGTGCCCTAATTGCATCCATTTCCTCCCAGGCCTGATTGGGAATCTTGCACCGGCATCGCGAGCCCCGCTCTTCGGCCTCCAGGAGCGAGTGAGGGACGCGGGAGAGGGGCTTTTCTTCGGCGTGCGCGTCCCCCTGCCGCCGGCTTCTCCAGCTCCTCGCCGGGCCGCGCTGCCGCCCAAACTCCGCGGCGCCGCCCGCTCCGCGCCCGGCTCCGGCCCAGGTTTTGCGGCCCGCCCGCCGCCGCGCTCGCCGAGCCGGAGGCTGGCGCCGCCGAGGCCGCCGCGGCCGGGGCGTGGGGGCCGCACCGCGCACGCGCGCCCGCGGCGTCTGAGGCTCCCTGCGCCCCGACTCCGCGCGGCCGGAACCCTCGCGCCGCCGCGCCACCCGGAGCCGCCCGGGACCCGGACCCCGCGCGCCCCGCGCCGGGCGGGGACTATTTTCTCTGCCCGTGTCCTCTCCTCTCCCCACGCCGGGAGGAACATTCCTGGCTCTCCCCGCCCGGCTGCGTCTGTGCCCGCTCCTCCCCCGCCGCGTGTTTTCCGCCCCAGTAAAGATCGTGCCACACAAATAAGCCTCGAATGCCCTTTGCCGAGCAGGCAGGAGGGCAGCAAGCGCAGAGCCCGAGCGGGCCATTTTCAGGGCGCGTCTCCGGAGCCGCTAAAAGTCTTGTTTTCTCCCAAAAGTGGAAGGTGGGAGGTGGGGCGGTCGTGGGGCCGCTTCCAACTGCTACACACGCTCGAATAGTTGTCAGTAAAATCAAACTGACGTCAGCCCTGAGGAAAAAGATAGGTCTCTTTTGTTCTCATGTTCTACCCCCGCCCCTTGCGATCAAAGGCAAAAAACATTTTTTTGGAGGTGGGGGGAAAGACAAAAAGGGGGAAAAAATTGCAATGCGGAGAGATAGCTTCCATCAGAGCTCCTGCCCGGGCGATGGGAATGTTTAATGAATGCATCAAGCCTTTTGATCACCCTCGCTCGGTTGGGTTCAGTAGTGCCGGAAGGTTAGTTGCATCTCCTGTGGCTGATCTGAAATTCGATCAGCAGAGGGGGCAAAGAAAAGAAAAGCATTTTAATGGGAATCAATAGGGGATCATAGGTCTTGGAAGGAAATACGTGTTGATTAAAAATGCCACAAGATTAAAAAATGTCCACGACTTGTTTAAAAAGAGAAAAAGGAAAAAACAGAGAGGAGAGGAGAGAGAGAGAGGAGAGAGGAGAGGGGGAGGAGGAGGGAAAAAAACCCTTAGCAATCTATTTTCTCTGTGTGTTGCTGCCAGAGAGGCAGTCAGCAGACCAACAGTTTGTATAATGCTTCAAGCTACAGCGGGCAAATTTAAAGCTGTATGCTCAGAACAACATAATAAATACTTATTGAAAATGCATTTCTATTTCTAAGCGGGGTTCACTCATGCATTATACAAAGCACCTAGGGCTGCAGTAGCGAGACGCAAGGGGACAAATAAGGTGTACTGTGGCTCAAGTTCTTAAAACTAAACTCTCCAGCTTTTAACAGTTGACAGCAAGAACATAGACACTTAAAAAATGTATGAAAAACTAAACGAATAGCTTGAAAGATACCACGGACTTAAATTGTCTGAAACTTAAAGTTGTAATTTAAAAAAATCTGATAACTGAGGTTGAGGAGAAGGATAGCAAGGGGAGTTAGTGGTAGATAGCATATTGATTGGGTTACAGAGTGGAAAATTATTGCCCTGTAGGTAGAGAAAGTGATCAGCGGTGTGATAAAAACGGTGGAAGGTTTTATGACTATCCATCTACTACAGTGGGAAAGGGAAAAAGGTATTTTAAACCCATTCTTTGACAGAAAAACACAAATATACACCCTGTTTGCATAGCCTTTTAGAAAGAAATCAATTTACATTTTTACATTTTTGCATGTTAAACAAAGTTTCTTCATTGCAGTGGTGGAGCCTTCCTTTCAATAGCCTTTTAGGGAGTCCTCCAGATCTCCTGCATTCTAGTCCTACCCTTTACTCATCTTCCTCATTTTTACCTTTTCTTTCAATCTCTTTGAAGGACGTAAAAAGCGTCAAAGAGGTTTCTCAGGGCAATTTCCCTTGGATGTTCCTAATATTTAATTTCAGTAGTTTGGATAAAGGGGGATCTGTTATAATGGAGGTTTCCTTGTTGAGCCACGAATTATCTTACCTCAATATTTTTGGTCTCTACTAGATTATAAAATCCTTGAAGGCAGGGGATGTATCTCCTCTATCATTCATATTTCCAACAATGCCCCTTAGAACAAAACCTTGCACCTGGGAAATAGTAGAGAGAGCTCATTGAGCACTTTGGGTTAATAGCGGTAGATGGCCCATTGGATTTCAGAGAGGAAAAGTCATTGCTGGGTAACCTCAGAGAAGTGACTTAGCTTCTCTGAGCTTCAGGTTCCTCATCTGTAAAGTTTGAATGCTTATATCTAGCTACCAGGACTCACTTTTGTGAATGAAATGCTCATAAAGCACACTGTGTAATGTGCAATATCTGGCTATATATACATATATATCTAAATACATATATAATGTATCTAAATATATCTATAAATTTTATGTTCTATCTATCTATCTATCTATCTATCTATCTATCTATCTATCTATCTGCCTATCTTGTTCCTTCTCCTAAGATTTCTCCCACCCAGAAGCCCTGACTCCTTTATTCACACTCTGATGTGTCCCCGCCTTGAATCTGGACTGTAGCTGGATTGATGCTTTATGACGTTCAAGGCTAGATTATAAGAATCTTGCTGCTTCTACTTGGGACTCTTGGAATGCTCACTCTTGGGACATTCCCTCCTAGGACCCAGCTGCAATCTTCAGGAATCAGGGATCTTGTGTAGGTGAGATCAGGTGGACAGGTTGATAGTGTGCAGTGAACTCCCAGCCAACAGATAACATCAACTGCCAGCCATTCACTGCCAGCCAAGTGAATAGGCCATTTTGGATGGCCAGGCCTGTCCAAACTTCTGATGACTCCAGCCCCAGCTGTTGTCTGACTGCAATTGTATGAAAGACCCCAAGCAAGAACTGCCCAGCTGAGCTTAGTCAGCCCATAGAACCGTGAGAGGTAATATATAAAATGTGCAAATAAAAAAATAATTTTACAGTAGGTATAAAACCTGCTTGTTGAATAAACAGAAATGAAATAAGCTAGCTGCTTGGCAATCTCTTCCTTACCCCTTCCCTCCTGCCCCTGTTATTCTTTGACACCCCCAGTGGCATGCCAGCCCTTATTCCTGAGGCTATTAAGCTAACTGTGACTACATTAAAATGGAATTTGGTAAGCCCTTTCCTCAGGAGGCTTAGAGTCCAATTGGGCAAGAAGAAACTTTTCAAAAGGGGAAGCCATTTATGCACTGCTAGGTCCTGGCATAGAATAATGATTGTTAAACTATCTGTTGTTAAATGGAAACATTATTTTCTGTAACATGCTGATTGGAGGGAGGAAAGTTTATCTAGGGTTTGAGCTGGCCTTTGCTTGTAGGGATTTTTTTTTTTTTTTTTCAGCTTCTTTTTGATGTAGTTCTACCTTTCCTGGGAAAATCTTAAGAGTTCAGGAGAACAAATTTCTACCAGTTTGGAAGCCACCAAAATGAGAAGATATAGTATCTTATTTTATTAATTTTGATATTTATGCACTAGCTAATTACTTGGAAGATACATCTTCTTGTTCGTAATACAGTCAGTGCCATTTGGCCCTTGATCAAGTGTAAACAATGATTTTCATGTGGAAGGGCTGGAGCTTGGGCTGCATCTGCCGTGCACTTCATTCGCTAGGGCTACAGTGGTCACCAGAGATTTTTCTTCTATCACAGGTGATTCTACCCAAGAATGATTCGAGGAAAGGGGAGGTGTGGGCAGGAAACCAATTGGGGTTCGCAAATAAATAAAATGCAACTCAATTTTTTTTTAATTTTTGAAAGAAATTCTAAACTTACTGACTTGTTTTAAAAATTGAATAAATAGGCTGGGCACAGTGGCTCATGCCTGTAATCCCACTTTGGGAGGCCAAGGTGGGTGGTTTGCTTGAGTCCAGAGGTTTGAGACCAGCCTGGCCAACATGGTGAAACCCTGTCCTTACTAAAAATACAAAAAAATTAGCCGGGCATGGTGGCACATACCTGTAATCCCAGCTACTTTGGTGGCTGAGGCACAAGAATTGCTTGAACCCGGGAGGTGGAGGTTGCAGTGAGCCAAGATAGTGTCATTACACTCCGGCATAGGCAACAGAGTGAAACTTCATGTAAAAAAAAAAAAACAAAAAACTAAATATTATACATGTAAAGAAAAAACCCAAAAATCTCAACAATGACAATTTAAAGGCAGAGATGAACAAGGAGAAGAGAAAGGTGGGTGCTTTGAGTGTGGAGAGAAGAGGGATAAGTGGCTTGGTGGATCCCAGGATGAGTCTGCGTCACTTGGATATTTACTTGAATTAGGGTTGTAGAGATTCTGGGAATATCTTGAGTTGCATGTTTTTGCGTTTTTTCTTACTTTTACAGTAAAATGTTTACATAGATAAAACACAAAGCCTTTTTTGATTTTGTCGATACGGGCATACATACACATAATAAGCCCAGTGAAAAATATTTTTCATGAGCAAATGGGTCAGCTACTCTACATAACTCTTCATAGGACTTTCAAAGTTTATATTCTGAATGCAACAATTACAACAATGTTCCAGAACAGAAATTGCATTCTGGAATGCACCAGTTGGGAAGTGTAATACCTTCTGATGAGCTACTGGCTAAAGTTGCATTCCAACCTCTTGCTGCTATGTCTTGGTTTGTATCATCTCCATGGTGGCTTTTAATACTTCATTCCAATTGGATGGATTGGGTCCCCGGATCTGTCTTTGGCTTTGAGCCTGTCTCTTGCAATTGACCCGTCTTCAAGAAGCTTGACCCATGTGTTCCGTTCATTTAATTCTTCATTCATTCCTTCAACAAACATGTATTATCTGTCTACTATGGGCCAAACACTGTACTAGGGGCTGGGGATACATTGATGAACAAGGCACCATTGTAGCCTTCCAACAGCTTCCAGGCTTGTGGGAAAGACCCACAGGTACTCAGGGGAACACTGGTAGGGAAACTGGAGTGATTTTGAACACTAAGGAAGCCATCAGAGAAGGGAAAAGTGAGAAGCGTCCTCAGAGAGTCTGAGTTGAGACCTAGATAAATGAATCAGCCAGGTGAAGGCCAGGGCATGGGGAAACATAGTGAGAAGAGATATTGGAATTGCAATATTTGAGATGTTGTATGGAGGTTCCTGATTTTGCCCTGGGATCTGTAAAGACAGCTAGGTGTAGTGATGCTTAAGCTAGTCCTGATTTAAAAAAATAATAATGTAAGTGGAGTGATTAATTCAAGACTTAGTCACCTTTTAAGCTATGAGCTTTTTTGCAGACTAAATGTGCTCTGCTTGCACTTATGTCTGTCAGCAATGCTTCTCCGGAATCTGACTGACCCTCTGAAGCCAAGTTTCATCTGTATTAGTGGTGGTGGTGACTGCCATTTTGGAAAAGGGATTTTTTCCCTTCACTTTTATTGTCGCATCTCAGTGCCATTGTTGATGTGGATTATGTTCTGTCATCTTCGTTGCTTCCTTTTGTACCTACAAACATTCCAAGATGCTAGCATTTATTTCTAGTTGCAGTATTTTAATTTCATTTTTATATCTTTTTATTGTGGTGAAATATACACAACATAAAACTGACCATTTTAACCATTTTAAAGAGTATAGTTCCGGGACGTTAAGTACATTTGCGTTGTTGTGCAAGCAATAGTCACCATCCATCTCCAGTAATTCCCCATTTTCCCTTCTCCCATCCCCTGGCAACCAGAATTCTACTTTTTGTCTCTATTAATTTGACTACTCTGGGTACCTCATATAATCATTTTACATTTTAAACTTTTTGGCAGAATTGCTGTCAGATTTGAAATGTTATTGGAGAAAGATTGTACAGGATGAATTACTGAAAATTTTAATGCATTTAAGTGTTCTACACACAGTTTTAACATTTTCTGTGACTGCGTAATTTATTCTGAAGCTGGCTATAGCAGTGTGTCTTAAGTCAACGTTGATGGGAGAGGTCAAAACTTTTTGCCTGATAAAGACTATTAAACAATTAAGATGACATAATAGCACTACAGGTATAAATTATGTCATGAGATTCTATCTGATTTGATTGGATCTTTCTCCCATATGTAAAATTAAATGTCCTCCAACTGAAACAGTCTTATTCAATATTCCTCAGTACAACTTTGTTAGTAGCTCCCTTAATGCATGAAAGAAGATGGTAAACGTTATGATGTATTTTTATAATCACTCATTTTACACATTTCTGAAATAGTAAAAATAATATTTTGTTTCAGTTACAGATATCTGAGAAACAACACTTTATACTCTACTGTATAAAAATTTCTTAATGGTAAAAGTGACTGAGAAATAAAGATAGAAAACTATAGCTCACGTTGTCTCAAACCTTTGTAAAAAATATTTCATAGTAGGATTACAGACATACTTAGATTATAAATAATTTTATTGCCAAGTTATCCATGTGAAAATTTAATTAATATAAATTACACGTTGCAGTAAAAATGATCTCTATAATGGCCAAATTTCGGCTTTTACAGTCTTTTGCTTTCAATATGATGTCATCTTTGCCAGAATGATCTGAAAAAGGCCTTCACTCTTAGAACTAATTTCTTTATAGGAGTTCTAGTTCTTAGGTTGTAGTAAAGATAGAGGAACCTCATTAATTCTCACTTTGCTAATCCATAAACTCTGTAATTTCCACAAAAATTTCTCAGCAATATCATTTTACTTTACAGGAAACATTTTATAGCCAGGAGCTCTAGACAAATCTCAAATCACTAAGAATCCATTACTTTTGCCAAATATACTATAGGCCATTCACTAGCTATCATAAAATATTATGACTCAACTACATTTATCTAAGTAAACTAGTAAAGCAAATATCACGATTCCAAATTCAGATGTGAAAAAATCATGTGCACATATTCTCATATTTCCCTACATTATGTGTGTGTATGTGTGTGTGAGATTGTTATAATGATAACCCCTAATAATTTGTGAATTACACTTTCCTGTATTCATATCTCTTTGCTACACCTTCAAACAAAAGGAGAATTACATTTTTTTCTATCCTTTGACTGCAGGCTGCTCTTGTGACTTGATTTGACAAATGGAATCTGGCAGAAGTGACATTGGATGTCTTCTGAGGCCAGGCTTATAGAGGCTAGGGAGCTTCTGCTTTTGGTCTCTTGTAACCCTAAGACTCCCATGCTGTGAACAATTATGCTCACGAAGAAAGACTTCTGCAGAGAAAGGCCCAGGTAAGCTCAGTCTTAGTCAACTGCCAGTGGACTGTACCCAGGCAAGTCCAGAAGAGAATTCCTCAGCCAACCTATAGAATCATGACAAATAATAAATTGCGGTTGTTTAAAACCATGAAGTTTCAGGGTGTTTTGTATGAGGATGTCCAATTGTTCCAGCACCATTTTTGGAAAAAGCTATTTTTGCTCCATTGTGTTGCCTTTGCTTTTTGTCAGAGAAACTGATATAGAAATTGTTATCTGACACTAGGTGCAAGTGTAGCAAAATCCTAAAACATGTGACAATGGTTTGGTGACTAGGTGGCAGGTAGAGGCTGCAATAGAAGCAAGAAGTTTGTTAGCAGATGCTGGAAGAACAATGAGGAAATGGCTATTGTTAAGACTTCAGAAAAATTTAAGGAGGTACCTAACAGACTCTCTCACCAGACAAAGAATCTTAAGGGCATTGTTTCATAGCAACTTGACATGTTCAAAGTAGAGGTATGTCTTGAAAATAATTATGGATATACCTTTTGGGCTTGGAGAGAAACTATAAAATTAATAGGAAACCCACAAAGTTTTTTGAGAGTATTGTATTTATGAGAGCACTGTCAGCTTGGACTGAAAGGGAAAGAGGGAATTCAAAATTAAAAAGAGGCCTCTGTACTCCCAACTTTCCACGGGCAGAAAGAAGACTAAGAAAGCTTCCTAGCTGCAAACGTGGGCCATTGTTGAGGATAAATGAAAGGTGTTTCAGAAGGTAAAGCCACAAGACTAGGGCAGAACCAAGAGCTGGGAAGAATAAGAATGGAGAGAACCAATCTTAGTGAGCAGAATTGGCCCCCAGTAAAGGAACATTCTTTATTCCCAGAAGAGAAGGCCTGAAACATGTGCCCAGCTGGATTTCAAGAGTTGTTATGGGCCAGTGACAGTTCTGTGCCTCCCATCCCCTTGTTTTTGAGTGGAAGTATCAATTGCAGTTATCTTATCCCTGTCTTTCCATTGTATATTGGGTGTCTGTGGGGCAGATAACTGTTTTTAGTTCATGGAGCTCTAGATTAAGAGTTGCTGCACCAAAGAGCCATTCTTTGCTAGCCTCATCTTTATCGGTACTTGATGATCTGCATGAGATCATGGGCTCTGAGCCTGATGCTGGGATTGGATGAGACTTTGGGGATTTGCATGTGAAGGAGACGTGAATCAATGGGTCCAAAGGAAGCTGTGGCACAACAATATTTAAAATAATGGCCCCTGATGAATCGCGTCTTTTTGTGTTCATGCCTTTTGGCAATGTGACTTTGCTGCTCCTCTCATCAAGAGGTGGCATCTAGTTTCTCACTCCTTCAATATGGGCTGGGCGAATGGACTGGCTCTGACCAGTGGAACATAACAGTAGCACACTGTCCAGCTTCTGAGGCTAGAGCCTAAAAGGCTTGGAACCTCTGCTTTTATGGCTTGGACTTTGGAGGTCACCATGCTGTGAAAAACTCAACATAAAAGACTGTGTGGAGAGAGAGGTGCAGCTATTTCAGCCGACTCAGTAGAGCACAGTACCCAGCTGGTCCACCAGCAGAATATGGTTGGATAAGTCAGCCCAGTGGGAGCAATGGAACTTCTTGGCCAACCCCTAGAATCACAAATAATAATAAACTGTTGTTATTTTAAACCACTAGATTTTGGGTGTTGCTTATTACACAGCAATAGATACCTGGTACAACTTACAATTTAGAACTGGTTGTTGTGAATAAAGATTTCCTTAATTATTTTATTTATTAACTATTAATTTAATTTAAGTTTTTTGAGATGGGGTCTCGCTCTGCTGACCAGGCTGGAGTGCAGTGATCTCGGCTCACTGCAACCTCTGCCTCCTGGGTTCAAGCAATTATTGTGCCTCAGCCTCCTGAGTAGCTGGGATTACAGGTGCCCGCCACCATGCCCGGGTAAGTTTTGTATTTTTAGTAGAGACAGGGTTTCACCATGTTGGCCAGGCTGGTCTCGAACTCCTGAGCTCAGGCAATCCACCCGCCTCCACCTCCCAAAGTGCTGGGATTATAGGCGTGAGCCACCGCGCCTGGCCTCCTTAAGTATTTTTGCCTGCTTGTAGTAATATAGCTCCTTGATGTGTGGCTTTGTTGATAGTGTGATGCCCTTGGCTGCTGGAAGTTAAGTTAAAGCTGGAAAACCTTAAGAAGAAAGGGTCGAAGAAACGTAAAGTGTTACAGGGTCCAAATTCAGTTGCTTGGGACCTGCGACTGTAATCTCGGAGACCTGCTGGCATTGCCAAATTAAGCCACAATTTTAGAGTTGACTCCATCTGAGATAAAATCCTAGCTCTGGCACTTATTAACTTTTTAAACAAATTGGTAAATTTTACATTTTAGGGCAGTTTTAGGTTCACGGAAAAATTGAGCTTAAAGTACAGAGAGTTTCCACATACCCCGTCCCCATACACACGTACCTTCCCCACTATTGACATCTCCCAACACAGTGGTACATTCGTCACACTTTGTGAACTTACATTGACATGTTAATATCACCCAAAGTCCATATTTTACATTAGGCTTCACTTTTGGTTTGTACATCCTATGGGTTTTGACATGTGTATAATGACATGCATCCACCATGGTAGTGTTATACAGAAGAGTTTCACTGCTCTAGAATTCCTGTATGCTCTCCTTGTTCATCTCTCCCTTCTTCCTAATCCCTGGAAACCATTTGTCTTTTTACTCCATTGTTTTTCCTTTTCCAGAATATTATGTAGTTGGAATCACCCAACTCGTGGCCTTTTCAGATTGACTTCTTTCACTTGTAAAATGCATTCAAGGCCGGGCGCGGTGGCTCACGCCTGTAATCCCAGCACTTTGGGTGGCTGAGGCGGGTGGATCGTGAGGTGAGGAGAGTGAGACCATCCTGGCCAGCTTGGTGAAACCCCATCTCTACTAAAATACAAAAAATTAGCCGGCATGGTGGTGAGCCCCTCTAGTCCCAGGTACTTGGGAGGCTGAGGCAGGGGAATTGCTTGAACCCGGGAGGCGGAGATTGCAGTGAGCTGAGATCATGCCACTGCACTCCAGCCTGGTGACAGAGCGAGATTCCATCTCAAAAAAAAAAAAAAAAAAAAAATGCATTCAGGCTTCCTTCATATATTTGCATGGCTTGATAGCTCTTTTTGTTGTTGTTGTTGTTGCTAAATAATATTCCATTGTCTGGATGCACCTCAGTTTATTTATTTATTTATCTACTGAAGGACATCTTGGTTGCTTCCAAGTTTTGGCAATTGTGAATAAAGCTGCTATAAACATTCATGTGCATAAACATAAGTTTTCACTTAATTTGGGTAAATACTAAAGATTGCTAGATCATATGATAAGAGTGTATTTAGTTTTGTAAGAAACTGCCAAACTGTCTTCCAAAGTGGATATTTTGCATTCCCATGAGCAAAGAAGGAGAGTTCCTTTTGCTCCACATCGTCACCAGCATTTGGTGTTGTCAGTGTTTTGGATTTTGGCCATTTTAATAGGTATATAGTGGTATCTCATTTTTATTTTAACTTGCAATGTCCTAATGACATGTGGTGTTGAACGTATTTTCATATGCTTATTTGCCATCTGTGTATCTTCTCTGGTGAGTTATCTGTTCAGGCTTTTCACCCATTTTTTAATCAGGTTGTTCTTTTTTTATTGTTTAATTTTAAGAGTTCTTTGTGTATTTTGGGTAACAGTCCTTCATCAGATGTGTCTTTTGCAGGCCAGGTGTGGTGGCTCACACCTGTAATCCTAGCATTTTGGGAGGCCAAGGTGGGCAGATTGCCTGAGCTCAAAAGTTGAAGGCCAGCCTGGGCAACATGGTGAAACCCTGTCTCTGCTAAAATACAAAAAATTAGCTGGGCGTGGTGGCATGTGCCTGTAGTCCCAGCTACTCGGGAGGCTGAGGCATGAGGATTGCTTGAACCTGGGAAGCAGAGGTTGCGGTGAGACGAGATTGCACCACTGCACTCCAGCCTGGTTGACAGAGCGAGACTCTGTCTCAAAAAAAAAAAAAAAATTTGTCTTTTGCAAATTTTTTCACCCAGTGTGTGGCTTGTCTTTTTATTCTCTTAATATTGTCCTTCATAGAGCAGGAGTTTTACATATTTAAAATTGATACATCATTGTTGTATACGTTTTGGGGTGACATGTGGTATTTTGATACATATATACAATGTCAGGGCAATTAAGCAACTGGGATATCCATCACCTCAAACACGTAACTCTTCTCTGTGTTGGGAACATTACAATTCTTCTCTTCTCACTGTTTTGAAATATATAATAAATTATTGTTAACTATAATTTTCCTAGTATACTATCAAATACTAGAACTTGTTCCTTCTATCTAACTACATTTTTGTACTCATTAACCAACTTCCCTTCATTCCTCCCACCCTATTACCCTTCCCATCCTCTGATAACCACTGTTCTACTCTCTACCTCCATGAGATCTGCTTTTTTGGCTCCCACATTTGAGTGAGAACATGTGATATTTGTCTTTCTGTACCTGGCTTACTTAACATAATGACTTCCATTCCATCCATGTTGTTGCAAAAGACAGGACTTCATTCTTTTTTATGGCTGAATAATATTCCAGTGTGTGTATGTACCACATTTTCTTTATCCTTTCATCTGTTGATTGACACTTAGGTTGATTCCATATCTTGGCTATTGTGAATAGTGCTGCAAGAAACATGCAAGTGCAGATATCAGTTTGATTTACTGATTTCCTTTCTTTTGGACGCATACCTAGCAGTGGGATTACTGGGTTGTATGGTAGCTCTATTTTCAGTGTTTTGAGAAACCTCCATATTGTTCTCCATAGTGGCTGTACTTTACATTCCCACCTACAGTGCATGATGGTTACTCTTTCTACACATCCTCACCAGCATGTTATGCCTTCTTGATAAAAGACATTTTAACAAGCAAGATGATATCTCATTGTACTTTCGATTTGCATTTCTGTAAAGGTTAGTGATGCTGAGCATTTTCTCATATACCCAGTTGTCATTTGTATGTCTTCTTTTGAGAAATGCCTATTCAAATCTTTTGCCCATGTTTTAATTGGATTTTTTTTTCCTATTGATTTGTGTGAGCTCTTTATGCATTCTGGTTATTAATTCCTTGTCAGATGGGTAGTGTGCAAATATTTTCTCCCATTTGGTAGGCTGTCACTTCACTTTGTTGATTGTTTCCTTTGCTGTGTGGAAGCTTTTTAGCTTGGTGTGATCCCATTTATTTATTTTTGCTTTTGTTGCCTGTGCTTTTGAACTCTTACTCAAGAAATCTTTGCCCAAACCAACGTCCTGGAGGGTTTCCCCAATGTTTTCTTCTAGTAGTTTCATAGTTTTAGGTTTTGGAGTCAAGTCTTTAATCCATTTTGATTTGATTTTTTTTAATGGTGAGAGATAGATAGGAGTCTAGTTTCACTCTTCTTCCTATGGATACCCAGTTTTCCCAGGACCATTTATTAAAGAAACTACCCCTCCCTTAGTGTATGTTCTTGGCACTTTGGCTGAAAATAAGTTGGCTGTAAGTGCATGGATTAATTTTTGGTTTCTCTATTCTGTTCCATTGGTCTATGTGTCTGTTTTTATTGCAGTACCATGTGGTTTTGGTTACTGTAGCTTTGTAGTATAATTTGAAGTCAGGCAGAGTGATAGCTCTAGCTTTGTTCTTTTTGCTCTAGATTGCTTTAACTATTTGGGGTCTTTTGTGGTTTCATATGAATTTTAGGATTGTTTTTCTATTTCTGTAAAGAATGTCATTGGTATTCTGGTAGATTCAATGCAATATGTAGATTGCTTTGGGTAGTATGGATATTTTAACAATGTTGATTCTTGCGATCCACAAACATGTCATATCTTTCCATTTTGGTGTCTTCCTCAATTTCTTTCATCAGCATTTTATAGTTTTCATTGATGAGAACTTTCACTTCTTGAGTTAAGTTTATTTCTAGGTATGAGGACTTTCACTTCTTCAGTTAAGTTTATTTTTAGATATTTTATTTTATTTGTAGCGATTGAAAATGGAATTACTTTCTTAGTTTCTTTTTCAGACTGTTTGCTATTGGCATATAGAAATGCTACTGATTCTTGTATGTTGATTTTGAATCCTGCAACTTTACTGAATTTGCTTTTTGGTGCTAATAGTTTTGGGTGGATGGAGTCTTTAGGTTCTTCTATATATAAGATCCCATCATCTGCAAACGAAGATAACTTGACTTCTTCCTTTCCAGTTTGGATTCCCTTTATATCTTTTTCTTGTCTAATTGCTCTGGCTAAGACTTCTAGTGCTGTGTTGAGTAAAATTGGTGAAAGGGGGCATCCTTGTCTTGTTCCAGATTTTAGAGTAAAGGCTTTCAGTTTTTCCTTATTCAGTATGATAACAACTGTGGGTTTGTCATATATGGCTTTTATTGTGTTGGAGTATGTTCTTTCTATAACCAGTTTGTTAAGGTTTTTATCACGGAAAGATGTTGAATTTTATTGAATGTCTTTTCAGCATGTATTGAAATGGTCATGTGGTTTTAGTCATTCATTCTGTTGATATGATTGATTTGCATATGTTGAACCCTCCATGCATCCCTGGGATAAATCCCAACTGATCATGATGAATGATCTTTTTAATGTGTTGAATTCAGTTTGCTAATATTTTGTTGAAGATTTTTGTTGACTTTTAAATATTCACCTTTATCCAGCAACCTCACTATAATCACTTTTTAGTTCTAGAAGGGTTTTTTTTTCATCTTTTAAAAAAATTTTCTAGACAATCATGTAATCTGTGAATGAATACAGTTTTATTTCTTCCTTCACAATCTGCATACCTTTTATTTCCTTTAATTGTCTTGTTGCATTAGCTAGGGCTTCCAGTATAGTGTTGAAAATCAGTGGTGAGAGGGGACATCCTTGCCTGTTCATGATCTTAGTGGGAAAGTTCTGAGTTTCTCATCATTAAGTATGATGTTAGCTGTAGGTTTTTGGTAGATGTTCTTTATCATGTTGAGGAGCTTCTCTCTATTCCTAGTTTGCTGAGAGTTTTAATCATAAATGGGTATTGGATTTTGTCAAATGGTTTTCCTGCATCTATTGATACGTTTATGTGATTTTTCTTCTTTAGCCTGTTGATGTGATGGATTACATTAACAGATTTTTGAATAGTAAACTGGTCTTGCATACCTGGGATAAATTCCACTCAGTTGTGCATAATTCTTTTTGTACGTTGTTGGATTTGATTTGCTAATATTTCGTTGAGGATTTTTGCTTCTGTGCTCTTGAGAGGTGTTGGTCTGTAGATTTCTTTTCTTGTAATGTCTTTGTCTGATTTTGGTATTGGGGTAATACTGACCTCATAGAATGAGTTAGGAAGTATTCTCTCTGTTTCCACCTTCTGGAAGAGATTATATCTATATTATAAATTATATAGGTATAATTTCTAATTTAACTATTTGGTAGAATTCACCAGTGAACCCATCTGGGTTTGATGGTTTCACTCTTACAAGGTGCTTTATACAAGGACATTTTAAATTATTGATTCAATTTCTTTAATAAGTATAGGTCTATACAGATTGTCTCTTTATTCTTGTGTGAGTTTTGGCAGATTGTGCCTTTTAAGAACTTAGTACATTTCATCTAGGTTATAAAATTTGTGAGTGGGGGTTGATCATAATATTCCTTTATTATCCTTTTAAAGTTCATGGGATCTGTAGTGACATTCTCTCTTTCATTTGCAATACTAGTAATTTGTGTTTTCTCTTTCTCTTTTTAAAAAAATTTAGTCTGTCTAGAGGTTTATCAATTTTATCGATCTCTCCAAAGGACAAGATTTTACTACTGGTTGCTTTTCTCTATGATGATGATGATGATGATGATGATGATTATTATTATTATTATTATTTGATTATTATTATTTTTTTGAGATGGAGTCTCACTCTGTAGCCCAGGATGGAGTTCAGTGGCATGAACTTGGCTCACTGCAACCTCCGCCTCCTGGGTTCAAGTGATTCTCCTGCCTCAGCCTCCCAAGTAGCTGGGATTACAGGCGCCCACCACCACGCCTGGCTGATTTTTTTTATTTTTAGTAGAGATGGGGTTTCACCATCTTGGCCAGGCTGGTCTCGAACTTCTGACCTCGTGATCCACTTGCCTCAGCCTCCCAGAGTGCTGGGATTACAGGTGTGAGCCACTGTGCCCAGCCATAGTTTCCATTCTTTTAAATTTGTTAAGATATATTTTATGTCCTAAGATAGAACAGAATGTGGCCTATGTTGGAGAATGTTCCATGTGAACTTGAGAAAAATGTGTAATTTGCTATTGTTGGATGAAGTAGTCTATAGATGTCAATTATATCCAGTTGATTGATGGTGCTGTTGAGTTCAGCTACGTCCTTACTGATTTTATTTTTATGCCTGTTGGATCTGTCCATTTCTGATAAAGGTGTGTTAAAGTGTCCAAATATAATAGTGCTTTTATCTATTCTGCCTTGCAGTTTGATCAGTTTTTGCCGCATGTATTTTGGCACTCTGTTAGGTGCATGTACATTAAGGATTGTTATGTCTTCTCTGAGTATTGACTTCTCAATTATCATTATCATTACATAATGTCCCTCTTTATTCCTGATAACTTTCTTTGCGCTGAAATCTGTTCTGTTGAAATTAATATAACTACTCTCACTTTCCCTGGATTAGTGTTGGAATGGTAAATCTTTCTTCATCCCTTTACTTCTAATCTACTTATGTATTTATGTTTAAAGTGGGTTTCTTGTATACAACATGTAGTTGGGTCATATTTTATTTTATTTTATTTTATTTTATTATACTTTAAGTTCTAGGGTACATGTGCACAATGTGCAGGTTTGTTACATAGGTATACATGTGCTGTGTTGGTTTGCTGCACCCTTTAACTCGTCATTTACATTAGGTATTTCTCCTAATGCTATCCCTCCCCTAGCCCCCCACCCCACGACTGGCCCCGGTGTGTGACGTTCCCCGCCCTGTGTCCAAGTGTTCTCATTGTTCAGTTCCCACCTATGAGCGAGAACATGCGGTGTTTGATTTTCTGTCCTTGCGATAGTTTGCTGAGAATGATGGTTTCCAGCTTCATCCATGTCCCTGCAAAAGACATGAAGTCATCCTTTTTTATGGCTGCATAGTATTTCATGATGTATATGTGCCACATTTTCTTTCTTTTTTTTTTTTTTTTAATTGATCATTCTTGGGTGTTTCTCACAGAGGGGGATTTGGCAGGGTCATAGGACAATAGTGGAGGGAAGGTCAGCAGATAAACAAGTGAACAAAGGTCTCTGGTTTTCCTATGCAGAGGACCCTGCGGCCTTCCGCAGTGTTTGTGTCCCTGGGTACTTGAGATTAGGGAGTGGTGATGACTCTTAACGAGCATGCTGCCTTCAAGCATCTGTTTAACAAAGCACATCTTGCACCGCCCTTAATCCATTTAACCCTGAGTGGACACAGCACATGTTTCAGAGAGCACAGGGTTGGGGGTAAGGTCACTGATCAACAGGATCCCAAGGCAGAAGAATTTTTCTTAGTACAGAACAAAATGAAAAGTCTCCCGTGTCTACCTCTTTCTACACAGACACGGCAACCATCCGATTTCTCAATCTTTTCCCCGCCTTTCCCCCCTTTCTATTCCACAAAACCGCCATTGTCATCATGGCCCCTTCTCAATGAGCTGTTGGGTACACCTCCCAGACGGGGTGGTGGCTGGGCAGAGGGGATCCTCACTTCCCAGTAGGGGCGGCCGGGCAGAGGCGCCCCTCACCTCCCGGACTGGGCGGCTGGCCGGGCGGGGGGCTGACCCCCCCCACCTCCCTCCCGGACGGGGCGGCTGGCCAGGCGGGGGGCTGACCCCCCCACCTCCCTCCCGGACGGGGCGGTGGCCGGGCCGGGGGCTGACCCCCCCACCTCCCTCCCGGACGGGGCGGCTGGCCGGGCGGGGGGCTGACCCCCCCACCTCCCTCCCAGAAGGGGCGGCTGGCCTGGGGGGGGCTGACCCCCACCTCCCTCCCGGATGGGGTGGCTGCCGGGCGGAGACGCTCCTCACTTCCCAGACAGGGTGGCTGCCGGTCAGAGGGGCTCCTCACTTCTCATATGGGGCGGTTGCCAGGCGGAGGGTCTCCTCACTTCTCAGACAGGGCAGCCGGGCAGAGACGCTCCTCACCTCCCAGACGGGGTCGCGGCCAGGTAGAGGCGCTCCTCACTTTCCAGACTGGGTAGCCAGGCAGAGGGGCTCCTCACGTCCCAGACGATGGGCAGCCAGGCAGAGACGCTCCTCACTTCCCAGACGGGGTGGCGGCCGGGCAGAGGCTGCAATCTCGGCACTTTGGGAGGCCAAGGCAGGCGGCTGGGAGGTGGAGGTTGTAGCGAGCCGAGATCACGCCACTGCACTGCAGCCTGGGCAGCATTGAGCACTGAGTGAACCAGACTCCGTCTGCAATCCCGGCACCTCGGGAGGCCGAGGCTGGCGGATCACTCGCGGTTAGGAGCTGGAGACCAGCCCGGCCAACACAGCGAAACCCCGTCTCCACCAAAAAAATACGAAAACCAGTCAGGCGTGGCGGCGCGCGCCTGCAATCGCAGGCACTGGGCAGGCTGAGGCAGGAGAATCAGGCAGGGAGGCTGCAGTGAGCCGAGATGGCAGCAGTACAGTCCAGCTTCGGCTTGGCATCAGTGGGAGACTGTGGAGAGGGAGAGGGAGAGGGAGAGGGAGAGGGAGAGGGAGAGCGTGCCACATTTTCTTAATCCAGTCTATCATTGATGGACATTTGGGTTGGTTCCAAGTCTTTGCTATTGTGAATAGTGCCACAATAAACATATGTGTGCATGTGTCTTTATAGTAGCATGATTTATAATCCTTTGGGTATATACCCAGTAATGGGATGGCTGGGTTAAATGGTATTTCTAGTTCTAGATCCTTCAGGAATCACCACACTGTCTTCCACAATGATTGAACTAGTTTATACTCCCACCAACGGTGTAAAAGTGCTCCTATTTCTCCACATCCTCTCCAGCATCTCTTGTTTCCTGACTTTTTAATGATCACCATTCTAACTGGTGTGAGACGGTATGGTTTTGATTTGCATTTCTCTGATGACCAGTGATGATAAGCATTTTTTCATGTGTCTGTTGGCTGCATAAATGTCTTCTTTTGAGAAGTGTCTGTTCATATCCTTTGCCCACTTTTTGATGGGGTTGTTTTTTTCTTGTAAATTTAAGTTCTTTGTAGATTCTGGATATTAGCCCTTTGTCAGATGAGTAGATTGCAAAAATTTTCTCCCTTTCTGTAGGTTGCCTGTTCACTTTGATGGTAATTTCTTTTGCTGTGCAGAAGCTCTTTAGTTTAATTAGATCCCATTTGTCTATTTTGGCTTTTGTTGCCATTGCTTTTGGTGTTTTACTCTTGAAGTCCTTGCCCATGCCTATGTCCCGAATGGTATTACCTAGGTTTTCTTCTAGGGTTTTTATGGTTTTAGGTCTAACATGTAAGTCTTTAATCCATCTTGAATTAATTTTTGTATAAGGTGTAAGGAAGGGATCCAGTTTCAGCTTTCTACGTATGACTAGCCAGTTTTCCCAGCACCATTTATTAAATAGGGAATCCTTTCCCCATATCTTGTTTTTGTCAGGTTTGTCAAAGATCAGATGGTTGCAGATGTGTAGTGTTATTTCTGAGGCTTCTTTTCTGTTCCATTGGTCTATATCTCTGTTTTGGTACCAGCACTATGCTGTTTTGGTTACTGTAGCCTTGTAGTATAGTTTGGAGTCAGGTAGTGTGATGCCTCCAGCTTTATTCTTTTTGCTTAGGATTGTCTTGGCAATGTGGGCTCTTTTTTGGTTCCATATGAACTTTAAAGTAGTTTTTTCCAATTCTGTGAAGAAAGTCTTTGGTAGCTTGATTGGGATAGCATTGAATCTATAAATTACCTTGGGCAGTATGGCCATTTTCATGATATTGATTCTTCCTATCTATGAGAATGGAATGTTCTTCCATTTGTTTGTGTCCTCTTGTATTTTGTTGAGCAGTGGTTTGTAGTGTTCTTTGAAGAGGTCCTTCACATCCCTTGTATGTTGGATTCCTAGGTATTTTATTCTCTTTGTAGCAATTGTGAATGGGAGTTCACTCATGATTTGGCTCTCTGTTTGTTTGTTATTGGTGTATAGGAATGCTTGTGATTTTTGCACAATGATTTTGTATTCTGAGACTTTGCTGAAGTTGCTTATCAGCTTAAGGAGATTTTGAGCTGAGATGATGGGGTTTTCTAAATATACAATCATGTCATCTGCAAACAGGGACAATTTAAATTCCTTTTTTCCTAATTGAATACCCTTTATTTCCTTCTCCTGCCTGATTGCCCTAGCCAGAACTTCCAACACTATGTTGAACATGAATGGTGAGAGAGGGCATCCCTGTCTTGTGCCAGTTTTTGAAGGGAATGCTTCCAGTTTTTGCCCATTCAGTATGATATTGGCTGTGGGTTTCTCATAAATAGCTCTTATTGTTTTGAGATACATTCTATCAACACCTAGTTTATTGAGAGTTTTTAGCATGAAGGGCTGTTGAATTTTGTTGAAGGCCTTTTCTGCATCTATTGAGATAATCATGTTGTTTTTGTTTTTGGTTCTGTTTATGTGATGGATTACATTTATTGATTTGCATTTGTTGAACCAGCCTTGCATCCCAGGGATGAAGACGACTTGATCATGGTGGATAAGCTTTTTGATGTGCTGCTGGATTCAGTTTGCCAGTATTTTACTCAGAAGTTTTGCATCGATGTTCATCAGGGATATTGGTCTAAAATTCTCTTTTTTTTTTGTTGTGTCTCTGCCAGGCTTTGGTATCAGGATGATGCTGGCCTCATCAGATGAGTTAGGGAGGATTCCCTCTTTTTCTATTGATTGGAATAGTGGTTGGAATAGTTTCAGAAGAAATGGTACCAGCTCCTCTTTGTACCTCTGGTAGAATTTGGCTGTGAATCCATCTGGTCCTGGACTTTTTTTGGTTGGTAGGCTATTAATTATTGCCTCAATTTCAGAGACTGTTATTAGTCTATTCAGAGATTCAACTTCTTCCTGATTTAGGCTTGGGATGGTGTATGTGTCAAGGAATTTGTCCATTTCTTCTAGATTTTCTAGTTTATTTGTGTTGAGGTGTTTATAGTATTCTCTGATGGCAGTTTGTATTTCTGTGGGATCGGTGGTGATATCTCCTTTATCATTTTTTATTTTTTATTTATTTTTCTTTTTGAGATGGAGTCTAGCTCTGTTGCCCAGGCTGGAGTGCGGTGGCGCGATCTCGGCTCACTGCAAGCTCTGCCTCCTGGGTTCACGCCATTCTCCTGCCTCAGCCTCCCTAGTAGCTGGGACTACAGATGCCCACCACCACTCTAGGCTAATTTTTTTTTTGTATTTTTAGTAGAGACGGGGTTTCACCATGTTAGCCAGGATGGTCCCGATCTCCTGACCTCATGATCCACCCGCCTCAGCCTCCCAAAGTGCTGGGATTACGGCCGTGAGCCACCACACCCAGCCGCCTTTATCATTTTTTATTGCTTCTATTTGATTCTTCTCTCTTTTCTTCTTTATTAGTCTTGCTAGCAGTCTATGAATTTTGTTGATCTTTTCCAAAAACCAGCTCCTGGATTCATTGATTGTTTGAAGGGTTTCTTTGTGTCTCTATCTCCTTCAGTTCTGCTCTGATCTTAGTTATTTCTTACCCTCTGCTAGCTTTTGTATTTGTTTGCTCTTGCTTCTCTAGTTCTTTTAATTGTGATGTTGGGTGTCAATTTTAGATCTTTCCTGCTTTCTCTTGTGGTCCTTTAGTGCTATAAATTTCCCTCTACACCCTGCTTTAAATGTATCCCAGAGATTCTGGTCTGTTGTGTCTTTGTTCTCATTGGTTTCAAAGAACATCTTTATTTCTGATTTCATTTTGTTATTTACCCAGTAGTCATTCAGGAGCAGGTTGTTCAGTTTCCATGTAGTTGTGTGATTTTGAGTGAATTTCTTAATCCTGAGTTCTAATTTGATTGCACTGTGGTCTGAGAGACAGTTTGTTGTGATTTCTGTTCTTTTACATTTGCTGAGGAGTGCTTTACTATCATCTATGTGGTCAATTTTGGAATAAGTGAGATGTGGTGCTGAGAAGAATGTATATTCTGTTGATTTGGGATAGAGAGTTCCATAGATGTCTATTAGGTCTGCTTGGTGCAGAGCTGAGTTCAAGTCCTGGATATCCTTGTTAACCTTCTGTCTTGTTGATCTGTCTAATATTGACAGTGGGGTGTTAAAGTCTCCCATTATTATTGTGTGGGAGTCTAAGTCTCTTTGTAGGTCTCTAAGGACTTGCTTTATGAATCTGGGTGCTCCTGTATTGGGTGCATATATATTTAGGATAGTTAGCTCTTCTTGTTGAATTGATCCCTTTACCATTATGTAATGGCCTTCTTTGCCTCTTTTGATCTTTGTTGGTTTAAAGTCTGTTTTATCGGAGACTAGGATTGCAATCCCTGCTTTTTTTTGCTTTCCATTTGCTTGGTAGATCTTCCTCCATCCCTTTATTTTGAGCCTATGTGTGTCTCTGCATATGAGATGGGTCTACTGAATACAGCATACTGATGGGTCTTGACTCTTTATCCAATTTGCCAGTCTGTGTCTTTTAATTGTGGCATTTAGCCCACTTACATTTAAAGCTAATATTGTTATGTGTGAATTTGATCTTGTCATTATGATGTTAACTGGTTATTTTGCCTGTTAGTTGATGCAGTTTCTTCCTAGCATCGATGGTCTTTACAATTTGGCATGTTTTTGCAGTGGCTGGTACTGGTTGTTCCTTTCCATGTTTAGTGCTTCCTTCAGGAGCTCTTGTAAGGCAGGCCTGGTGGTGACAAAATCTCTCAGCATTTGCTTGTCTGTAAAGGTTTTTATTTCTCCTTCACTTATGAAGCTTAGTTTGGCTGGATATGAAATTCTGGCTTGAAAATTCTTTTCTTTAAGAATGTTGACTATTGGCCCCCACTGTCTTCTGGCTTGTAGAGCTTCTGCCAAGAGATCTGCTGTTAGTCTGATGGGCTTCCCTTTGCGGGTAACCCGACCTTTCTCTCTGGCTGCCCTTAACATTTTTTTCCTTCATTTCAACCTTGGTGAATCTGACAATTATGTGTCTTGGAGTTGCTCTTCTCAAGGAGTATCTTTGTGGTGTTCTCTGTATTTCCTGAATTTGAATGTTCACCTGCCTTGCTAGGTTGGGGAAGTTCTCCTGGATAATATCCTGAAGAGTGTTTTCCAACTTGGTTCCATTCTCCCCATCACTTTTGGGTACACCAATCAAACATAGATTTGGTCTTTTCACATAGTCCCATATTTCTTGGAGGCTTTGTTCATTTCTTTTTACTCTTTTTTCTCTAAACTTCTCTTCTCACTTTATTTCATTAATTTGATCTTCAATCACTGATACCCTTTCTTCCACTTGATCGAATTGGCTACTGAAGCTTGTGCATGCATCACGTAGTTCTTGTGCCGTGGTTTTCAGCTCCCTCAGGTCATTTAAGATCTCTACACTGTTTATTTTAGCTAGCCATTCTTCTAATCTTTTTTCAAGGTTTTCAGCTTCCTTGTGATGGTTTTGAACATCCTCCTTTAGCTTGGAGAAGTTTGTTATTACCAACCTTCTGAAGCCTACTTCTGTCAACTCGTCAAAGTCATTCTCTGTCCTGCTTTGTTCCATTGCTGGCGAGGAGCTGCGATCTTTTGGAGGAGAAGAGGCGCTCTGGTTTTTAGAATTTTCAGCTTTTCTGCTCTGGTTTCTCCCCATCTTTGTGGTTTTATCTACCTTTGGTCTTTGATGTTGGTGACCTACAGATGGGGTTTTGGTGTGGATGTCCTTTTTGTTGATGTTGATGCTATTCCTTTCTGTTTGTTAGTTTTCCTTCTAACAGGTTTCTAAGCTCCAGGTCTGTTGGAGTTTGCTGGAGGTCTACTCCAGACACTGTTTGCCTGGGTATCACCAGCGGAGGCCACAGAACAGCAAATATTGCAGAACGGTAAATATTGCTGCCTGATCCTTCCTCTGGAAGCTTTGTCCCAGAGGGGCACCCACCTCTATGAGGTGTCAGTCGGCCCCTACTGGGATGTGTCTCTCCGTTAGTCTACACGGGGGTCAGGGACCCACTTGAGGAGGCAGTCTGTCTGTTCTCAGAGCTCAAACACCATGCTGAAAGAACCACTGCTCTCTTCAGAGCTGTCAGACAGGGATGTTTAAGTCTGAAGAAGTTTCTGCTGCCTTTTGTTCAGCTATGCCCTGCCCCCAGAGGTGGGGTCTACAGAGGCAGTAGGCCTTGTTGAGCTGTGGTGGGCTCTGCCCCATTCTAGCTTCCCTTCCGCTTTGTTTACCTACTCAAGCCTCAGCAATGGCGGACGTCCCTCCCCCTGCCAGGCTGCTACCTTGCAAGTCCATCTCAGACTGCTGCGCTAGCAATTAGCAAGGCTCCATGGGTGTGGGACTCACTGAGCCAGGCGCAGGATATGATCTCCTGGTATGCCGTTTGCTAAGACAGTTGGAAAAGCGCAGTATTTGGGCAGAAGTGCCCCATTTTTCCAGGTACAGTCTGTCATGGCTTCCCTTGGCTAGGAAAGGGAAATCTGACTCCTTGAACTTCCCAGCTGAGGCAACACCCTGCCCTGCTTCAGCTTGCCCTCTGTGGGCTGCACCCACTGTCCAACCAGTCCCAATGAGATGAACCAGGTACCTCAGCTGGAAATGCAGAAATCACCCATCTTCTGTGTTGATCACACTGGGAGCTGCAGACTAGAGCTGTTCCTATTCAGCCATCTTGGAACGGTCCTGGGTCATATGTTTTGATGCACTTTGAATATCTATCTTTTTCTTTTTCTTTTTTTTTTTGAGGCAGGGTCTGGCTCTGTCACCCAGGCTGGAGTGCAGTGCTACGAACTTGGCTTACTGCTGCCTTGACCTCCCAGGCTGAAGTGATCCTCCCACCTCAGCCTCCAGAGAAGTTGGGACTACAGGTGTGTACCAGCATGCTTGGCTAGTTTTTGTATTTTTTTGTAGAGATGAGGTTTTGCCATGTTACTCAGGATGATCTTGAATTCCTGGGCTTAAGAGATCTGCTTGGCTTGGTCTCCCAATATGCTGGGATTAAAGGCCTGAGACACCACACCCAGCCCTTTATTTATGTTTTAAGTGGTGTAGGTAGACCATTGACATTTGAAGTGATTATTGATATAGTTGAATTGATGTCTGCCATATTTGTTATTGTTTTCTATTGGTTGCTCTTGTTCTTTGTTCCTGTTTTTGTCTTCCATACTTTTTTTTGCCTTTTGTAGCTTGTTTTTTAAATTTCTATTTTAATTTTTTAAAGAATTTAATGCATTTTAAAACTTACAGGAACAGCACAGAAGACAGACAATATTAGAAACATGTACTGTCATGTAGGATAACTCAGAATAGTGAATGAATGGGGTCTACTGTATGATAAAAATGCTACAAACACCATTTGCTTGCTGTCCATAGAAGCTGAATTGTTTTAAAAAATCCAAATGCTGGCATTATCGAGAAAAATTTAACAGGTTTGTTTATAATTATTATAAAGTTGAACTGCTGAAACTCGTTCACTGAAACATTTTGGCTTGCATTAATGCCTTGTGTCCCTGCATTTATATTAAAAATTCACACACAAATAAAAATGGAAAAACTGCCAATACCTGATTTAAGTCCTGTATTTTTCCACTCACAGTCATATTCTTAGGTTCCTTTTGACCCCATGGGAAAAAAAAAAAAAACCTAACATTCAGAACCATCACTAACATCACTAACAGGTGGTGAAGAGAATTTTTTTTTTTTTTTTTTTTTTGAGAATGAAATGTTTCCCATCGTAGTGATCTTATCCACGTTCTCCCACATATGGGGCATATTAGCCGGATGTCTTTTGGCACAATTGTTACACGTTTGGCATAGACAGCACACAAGTTAATGTCTTCAGCAAGGCATCGCTTGACTCCTGCAAAGCACCAATAGTTGCGGTCTGGAAGCGCAGATCTGTTTTAAAGTCCTGAGCAATTTCTCACACCAGATGCTGGGAAGGAAGTTTGTGAAACAGGAATTCCTGGACTTCAGATGACGTCTGATTTCCCGGAGTGCCACAGTACCGGACCTGGGACGATGAGGTTCCTTCACCCCTCCGGTAGAGGGCGCACTCTGCGAGCGGCTTTTGCAGCCAGTGGCTTCCTGGGCGCTTTACATCGGTGGCCTTGTGGGCAGTCCGCTTTGTGGGAGAGCAGGTGTGGAGACCTCCTGGCTCTAGCCCCATCTCCTTCATGGAGTGCACAGAGGTAGAGGAGGCACTGGTATTAGCGAAGGTGGGGCGAGAGAGGCTCCTTTTGCAGTTTTAATTAAGCATTTTATATGATTCCATTTTCTTTCCTTTTTCTGCATATCAATTATACCTTTTTTAAAAAATTGGGTTGCCTGGCCGGGCGCGGTGGCTCATGCTTGTAATCCCAGCACTTTGGGAGGCCGAGGCGGGTGGATCACGAGGTCAGGAGATGGAGACCACGGTGAAACCCCATCTCTACTAAAAATACAAAAAAAATTGGTCGGGCGTGGTGGCGGGCGCCTGTAGTCCCAGCTACTAGAGAGGCTGAGGCAGGAGAATGGCGTGAACCTGGGAGGTGGAGCTTGCAGTGAGCCGAGATCGCGCCACTGCACTCCAGCCTGGGCGACAGAGCCAGACTCCATGTCAAAAAAAAAAAAAAAAAATTTGGTTGCCTGAGAGCTCACAATGTACGTATACAATTAATCTAAGTTCACTTTCAAATAACACTATATTGCATCAGGAGTAATGCAAATATCTTTTTAAAAATTTATTTATGTATTTATTTTTTTGAGACAGGGTCTTGCTGTGTCACCCAGGCTGGAGTGCAGTGGAGTGATATTGGCTCACTGTAGTCTCCACCTCCCAGGTTCAAACGATTCTCCTGCCTCAGCCTCCTGAGTAGCGGGGATCACAGGCGTGCACCACCATGCCTGGCTAATTTTTTTCTGTATTTTTAGTAGAGATGGGGTTTCACCATGTTGGCCAGGCTGGTCTCAAACTCCTGACCTCAGATGATCTGCCTGCCCTGGCCTCCCTAAATGTTGGGATTACAGGTGTGAGCCACTGCATCTGGCCACAAATATCACAAAACACAGTCCTAATTCCACTTTTGTGTCCATTGTAGCATTGCTGTCATTCATTTCACTTATACGTAAGCATACAGAAACACACACACATATGCATACACAAGCATGTATACACATACACACAAAAGCATACAGAAATAAATATATTGTTATTATTTTAAACAAGTCATTATCTTTTAGATCAATTAAGAATGAGAAAAATACGTTTTTTTAATTTTGCCTTCACTTATTCCTTCTCTGATGCTCTTCCTTTCCTTTTGCAGATCTGACTTTCTGACCTATATTAGTTTTTTTTTTTCTCTCTGAAGAACTTCTTTTAAAATTTATTGCAAACCAGTGCTATTGGCAACACTTTCCCTCAATTTTTGTTTTTCTGAGAAAGTCTTTATTTCTACTTCACTTTTGAAGGATAATTTTACAGGGTAGGATTTTAGGTTGGTGGTGTTGTTTTTCTTTTTTTCTCTCAACACTAAATATTTCACTCCAGTCTCTTCTTGCTTGCATGTTTCTGAGAAGTCTGATGTAATTCTTATCTTATTCATTCTTATCTTATCTTAGTTCCTCTATAGGTAAGGTGTTTTTTTTTTTAAACTTCTGGCATCTTTCAAGATTTTTTCCTTTTGATTTTTCTGAAGTTTGAATATGATGTGCTCAGATATAGTTTTTTTTTTTTTTTTTTTTTTTTGAGACAGTGTCTTGCTCTGTCGCCCAGGCTGGAGAGCAGTGGTGTGATCTCGGCTCACTGCAAGCTCCACCTTCTGGGTTCATGCCATTCTCCTGCCTCAGCCTCCTGAGTAGCTGGGACTACAGGCGCCCGCCACCACACCCAGCTAATTTTTTTGTAGTTTTAGTAAAGACGGGGTTTCACTGTGTTAGTCAGGATGGTCTCCATCTCCTGACCTCGTGATCTGCCTGCCTCGGCCTCCCAAAGTGCTGGGATTACAGGCGTGAGCCACCAAGCCTGGCCTACTCGGTATAGTTTTTTTCCTTTTTGCATTTATCCTGCTTTATGTTCTCTGGCTTCCTGTGGTTTAGTGTCTGACATTAATTTGAGGGAAATTCACAGTCATTATTGCTTCAAATACTGCTTCTGTTCCTTTCTCTTTTTTCTCCTTCTGGGATTCCCCTTATGCATGTATTACACCTTTTGCAAGTGTCCCATAGTTCTTTGATGTTCTGTTTAGTGTTTTTCAGTCGTTTTTTTCTCTTTGTGTTTCAGTTTGGAAGTTTCTGTTATCATATCCCCCAGCTCAGAGATTTTTTTCTTTGGCCATGTCCAGTCTCCTTGTGAGCATGTCAAAGGCATTCTTCATCTCTGTTACAGTGTTTTTGATCTTTAGTATTTCTTTTTGATTCCTTCGTGGAATTTCCATCTCTATGCCTATATTATCCAAGTGTTTTTACATGTTGTCTACCTAGATTTCTTCAGTAAAGCCCTTTGCATATTAACTCATATGAGGGAGTAGGAGTTGGGATTTTCCCTTGCCCCACGTGGAAGGCTACAGCAGGCTGGGATTGGTTATTTCCCTTCTCCAGGTCTGTTAGGCTCTGAAAAGCACCCGACAGGTGAGGCTCGGGTAAAACAGTTTCTCTTGAGGGCAGGTCTTGTTAGAAGAACAGAATGCTCTGTTTTATCTCAAAATGGTTCCTTTTCTCCTCCCCCTGCTGGAAGCTCAAGAGGGTTTTCTTTCTTTAGTATTCACTGTGCAGCTGCTGGAGCTCCTAAAGGTAAACTTACAGAAGTGTGGGGGCCCCCTGTGACTGGGTCATCCTGGAATTTTTAATTCTCAGACCTGTCCACACTGAGCCTCCAACAATTTATCAATTACAGTCCAGGGTTTTGCACCTTGGTACTGGTTCCCATAGAGGTTTCTGCTCTGGTAATTTGTGATTCTCTGTATCTGCCTGCCTGCCTCTCTAATTTTGGGGCAGCAGTGTGCCCTTGACCTCATTTCTCTGAGGGCTATAAGATGAGTCATTGACTTCACAGTTTGTAAATCTCCTGGCATAGATGCTTGATAGATGGTAGCTGCGGTGGGGGGACTCTCTGGAGCTCAATGTTTCATTTGGGCAGTGGTGTGGGGTTGGAACTTGTCCATGCTCTCTACTCAATGCCCTTATCACTAGGATGCTCAGCGGTTTCCTGGTACCCTTGCTGTTTCCTGGGTTATTGGGGGCGAAGGAGGTACTTTCCTCCTACAGCAACAGTGGCTTCCCAAGCTCCTCTTTGTAGCATCAACTTTTGTCGAACCAGAGGCATGAGTTGACCATCCCACCGTGGGCAGGAAGGCATGAGCTCCCTCCCTTTGGACCAAAGGCTTCAGCTTACCCATGAATCTAAAGAGCAGAGCAACAAAGAGTGACAAGGCAGCAGCAGCAAACCACGGCACAATTTATGGAGCATGGAAAAGACTCTGGAGCTTCCCATTGGTATTTAAGCCACATTCTGAGGCTCAGCGAACAATCACTGTCAGGCACATTATCTTTGAATACAAAGGACAACAAAGTGTAATACAGTCTGCAGTTCAGCCCAACATTCTTGTCGGTAACATTTCCAATTTTTTATTTTTCTCACTAGTTGACAATATTATGATTTCTTCCTACAGGGGATGAAACTGCAAGCCCCTGCCTATTTCCCTGCTTGGCTATTATTTGAGGTTCTATTATAAGCCTCTGGCAGGCCGCCACAGACATATAAACCTTTTTTTTTTCAAGGCTACACACGTGGTACTCAGTTTCCATTCAACTTTTGTCCGCTCTGGTCAGGGATGGTGCTGACGACAGACCCCAAGATCTCAGTAATCTTGGGAATTAGGTTGAGGTTTCAGAACTCGTGATTGCAGAGTCAAATCATGCAGACTTGGCAAAGCCGTCCCTGCCAAACGCCCCTTTTATCTGAATTAAAAAACATGGTGCCAGATTCCAAGCTGTGTACTCATTCCAAAAAGTCTTATGTTTTCTGGCATCATTTAACTTTTAGGTCAACAGAGTTTAAAATATAGCTTTGCCTTTTTCCATTAACACCTAATAAGACCCTGTGTAGTTTTAGAAAAGCACTGTGAATATTACAGTATTTTGTATTTGGGAAAAAAAAACAAAATCTATTTCCTCTTAAAAAAGAACTGAGGAGCAAGTAAGGAAGCAGACTTAGTGTTCATAGTAATATTACATGTTTTTAAGTTAAGGTATCTTTCAAGATAAAAATGCATTTTAAATTATTACTGTTTTGTATTTAGCTGTGGCATGTGGTTTATTCTGCAACTTTAATGACCCTTAAAGGAGTGGGTGATTTTGTGCTTACCTTAAGAGGGCATGGGTTAATAAAGGTTGAAAAGACTGTTGTAGATTTCAGTTTTATTATGAATTCCTTGCTCATTTAAAGTGATAGTTACCATCTACGTCTTTTCTGAGAGAGACACCAAGGTGCAGGCAGGTTCATTACAGAAAAACACAGTATGTTGAAAAAACTCTTTGTTCTGTAAATTGATTGGGCCAAATTTCTGGATTTGAAGGGAATTGGAAGGGAGCTTCGGTGCTATGGAGGGCCCAGCAGAGACAGGGGCATGAGGTGTGGCGATGCTTCGAGCTGCCCCCACATCCGCCTTGCGCTGTGGGTCAGTGTCTGTTTGAAGGAGTCACTGAGTGGGTGAGGGGTGGCCCTGGCTGGTGCTGCAGCCTGTGGTGCTCCTAAGTGGCAGTGACAGCTCATTCAGCAGCAGTGTGACCTTTGGGGGAATGCCTGCCACTCATTTACTTGGGAGAATCCCAGACTTTCAGGCCACAGGCTCCTTGCCTATAAAATGAGAGATATGGATTAGATGATTTGCAGGGTCCCCCTCCAGTCTAAAATGCTATGATTCTATGGAATTAAGCCCATTTGATCTAAGAATGGAACCAAAAACCTTCTGCGTGTGTGTATGATGGAGGAATGGATTGTAATGCAGATAAGATGAAATAGTCCTTTTAGCCTTATTTTTGCCTTTCCCCATCTCAATGGTGTTTTTTTTTTTTCCCCCTCAGTGCATATTATCTGCTCTGTGCTGAGCAGGTTCAGAAAAGTATAAACCATATTCCTTCCCTTAGGATGCTTAAAATTTCATGGAGGAAGTCACTAACACATGAAATAGTAACATGGAGCCACAGATAATTCTTTTTTTTTTTTTTTTGAGACAGGGTCTCATTCTGTTGCCCATGCTGGAGTGCAATGTTTTGATCTCTGCTTACTGCAACCTCCATTTCCCATGCTCAAGCTATCCTCCTGCCTGAGCCTCTACCTCCCAAGTAGTTGGAATTACAGACTCACACCACAACACCCAGCTAATTTTTGTGTATATATATATATATGTGTGTGTGTATATATCTATATATATATTTTGAGATAGGGTCTTACTCTGTTGCCCAGGCTGGAGTACAGTGGCTCAATCTCCACTTACTGCAACCTCTGCCTCCGGGGTTCAAGTGATTCTCCCACCTCAGCCTCTTGAGTAGCTAGGACTACAGGTGTGCACCACCACGCTTGGCTAATTTTTTTATTTTTTTTATTTTTTGGTGGAGACAGGGTTTCACCATGTTGGCCCAGGCTGGTCTTGAACTCCTGACCTCAAGTGATCTGCCTGCCTTGGTCTCCCAATGTTCTGGGATTACAGGCGTGAGCCACCATGCCCAGTCTAATTTTTGTATTTTTTGTAGAGATGGGGTCTAGTCATGTTGCCCAGGCTGGTCTCAAACTCCTGAGCTCAAGCGATCCACCTGCCTTGGCCTCCTAAAGTGCTGGGATTGCAGGCGTGAGCTAATGCACCTGGCTAGCCATATAAAATTCCAGGTGGAAGGGAACTGTGGAGCAGAATTAAGAGGAGCAGGTTCAAGTTTTCACTCCGATACCACCTTGTCGGTGGGGTTGAGCCCCACTACCTCTTTATTATTGCAGTTTACACCTTGGTGTTTCCCCCAGCTCTGCTCATCAGCCTTAGCCTACTCTCCTTTGTTTTTTCTTTGCTTTTGTTTACTAATATATCCCAAGTGCCTAGAACGGTGCCTCAATAAATTAGGCACTGAAATAGACATTTGTTGAATGAATGAATGGATGGATGAGGGAAAGTAGGGACAGAAAGCAGAAACAGAGAGGTGGGATTTAGGTGGGCCTCAAAGGCTGAGCACATACACCTTTGTAGAGAGGGACAAGGCCACCTATAAATGATAGGGCTGCTTATACTGTTAGATTGACAGGTCTCTGTTTTGAGCACTGTTTGTTGAGATGAAACTCCTGGAAAAATCCTGAAGACCCCTGATCCTGTGTTCTCCATGGACACATTAAGCCCCTGCAGAGGCCATTGTGATTGTAAGTGAACTTTTTTACTTTGAACAGTAAGATGTCACTGGGTGGGTCCCCCATGCTGTGGCTCTCTTTCTCTCCAGGCAAGCCATTGTTAGAAATGCCTCTCCGTGCTCAAACAGCAACAGCTGCTCCTGGGCACATCCTGGGCACCTTGCAGAGCAGAGTGAGGTGAGCACTAAGGGACCTGAGGATCTTCCAATCTGGTGGTTCCCCAATGTTGGCTTCACATTAGGATTCCCTAGGGAACTTTTAAAAAATACTGGGGCTTTGGCCTCCACCTCCTCCCCCAGATTCTCACTTAATTAGTCTGGGAAGGAGGGGCCCAGGCACCATAGTTAGTTTACAAGTTCCCCAGGTGATTCTAATACGCAGCCAGGGTCAGAGCCACCAACTACTTCTAGCCCTCTCATTTGATTAGTGAGGGAGCCCAGGCCCAGAGAAATCAAGCGGCTTGTCTAAAGGTGACAGGCTGTTATTACCTTCAGGTGGCCATCAGAGGAGCTGCACAGAATGTCTTTAGACTGACAATTTTCAGTTTGCCAGATTCTATGGCGAATTACATGAATCTAGGCTAGATAATTAAGTCCTAGACACAGAGCTCATATTAGAGATGTGCGAGGTACCTATCTGGCTGATCAGAAGACACGCAATAAAGGCTCAGACGTGTGTACCATGAGGACCCCTGTGTCACAGGTGCCAATAATAAATGACTCAGAACCCTCGATGGACCACAGATAAAGGTGTTGGAAATGATCAACACTGCAGGTCACCAAAGGGAATTGTCCTGGCTTGGCTGTTTCCTGGAGAGCTTTGTTTGCAGAGCCCATGGTCTTTACAGGGTTTGCTCTGGGTGTCCTAGTACTGTCAGGGTGTGGGTGCTTCTTCCTCTCAAAGAGAGGCCTTTCTGTGTCTGATCTTGCAGTGGGGGACCACGCCATCGCAGAAGAAAAGCCAAGGCTTGCTTTTCCACAGGGTGCTCACAATCATACCAGGAAAAAGTAATGAACAAAACAACCTTTGCTACCAATGTGCAGTCTCAGAAAGATACATTGTGGAGGAACAAGCTGTCTCTGCCACTTAGGATGACTGGGTCTCCCCCACAGAGCCCTTATATCCAGTCAGCGATGGTTACAAAAATACTGACTCCCAGCGAGATGAAAAATGAAAGGAGAAAGTGTCTTGGGAGTCCAGGGCATCAGGAGGAAAGACCCACTTCCAGTGATTTTTCTTTCTGGAGCTAATGGGACACCAAGGGGTGCTCTGTCTTAAAGCCAGGCACAAGTGGGGCTGAGCACCTTTGTTTCTGCTTTTAGTGTTCTCTGCTTTTGCAGCTCCTGGGCCCCGCGGCTGTTCTGCAAGAAGGAACTGTGGTAGTCCCTGCTGAAGGCAGCTGCCCTAAAAGAGAAAACTGTGGTCAGTGGTCTGCACCATCAGTACTTCAGGCTGTGGGGAGGATATTAAGCTGTGGAAAAGATACGTAAGAGGTTGTTTCTTGGGTAGGGGGAATTCATTCAAGAGACATTGATGAAGTTCTTATTTGAGAGTCTGCTAAGCTTGGGGAGAGGGCAGTGGTTGTTTTCGATGTAACCAGAATCAAAAGCAATGAGCTGGACAGGAGAGGATAAATGCATTTCTCTCTCCCTTTCTGCTTGTGGAAATAATTATTGGGGAAAGAAAGCCCTGTCTAGGAATTTGATCTGGTCCAAAGAATGTATAAACTATAATTTTGGAGTTGTGTGTTCTTTGTGAAATTAAGAGGGAGGATGAGGGAAAGGTGACTGGTGTTGCCAAAGGGCAGTTCTCGGATATAGCATCCCTGTTCTCATGGAGCTTATAGCCTGGTGGGGAAGACCTACAACACACAAATAACAAACTACACACACACACACACACACACACACACACACACACACACACACTTCTGTATGTGTGCTGATAACATCAAGGAAGAAAAGTGAATCAGGGGAAGGGTTGGAGGATATTTTAGATAGGGTGGTGGGGGAAGGCCTTTGAAGATGTGAATTTGAGGAAAGACTAAAGGAAGTAAGAATTTGGCTACACGGAGTAAGGGCATGCTAGCCAGAAGGAACAGCTGTCACAAAAACCTTCGAGGATGAAGGACTGGCATCTAGCATTGAGAAAACATCACGAGCAAGGGCAAGAGTGCAATGGTCAGCAGTCACCTCTGACCGAGATCAAAGAGGAGTCCAAGAAGGTGGTGGTACCTAGACTAAACCTTGCAGGATTCATAGGATTTCAACAGGCTGGATTCTGAGCAACCCAGGGGAAGAACAATGCCCTGATGTTCATAAGACCTTACACAAGGGAGATATTCAATAATATTTATGGATAAAGGGAACAGGTGGAGAGGAGGAAGGTATGAAAGATAAAGGGAATGCTGTAAATAAAGATGTAGAGGTGGAAACTGTGGGTTAGATTCTGGGAATGGTGGAGTTTGGTTGGAATATCCATTATGTAAAGGATGCAAAAATGGGTCATGAAAAATGTCGGTTGATGAACTGATAATAAACGGCAAGAATACTAAATTCTGAAGCTTGGACTGTGTTGTGCAGGCAAGGAGGAGTCATGGTGGGTTTTTGAATAATGGAACTACGCACACCAAAACAGAACCTATGCTGAGAATAGGCTGGTTGGGGGATGGTTGGGGGATAGAATAGAAGTGGAAGCCTGCTATGGTTCCTCTGGAGAGAACCGGTGCTTCATGATTTGAGCTAGGGCTGGGTTTCTAGCAATAGAAAGGTAGGTAAGACATGGTACAAACAAATGGCTAATATTCTGTGACTGTTTAGATGTAGGAAGAGAAGAGAGAGGTGGAGTCAAGGATGTCTGATGTTTCACATCTGATTGGGAAGATGGCAGCCTCACTGATAGGAAAACAGAAGTAAAATGATATGGGATGGTTTAGAGATGGTGATAGTGCACCCAGGGGTTTGATGTTTAGCTAATGGAAAAGGAGGGATGATGCTCAGAGAAAAAGTTGGGATTGGAGAGGGAAGTTTGGAATTTCTACCTAGAGGAGATACAGGTATTTAGGAAATGGAAAGAGAAAAGGCACCAGAACAGAAACACAGAGATTCTCACATGTAGGGCCTAGAAAGAAGAAGAGGAAGCCACAAAGGAGAGTCAGAGGAGCAGCAGAACAGGCAGAAGAACCAGGGATTCCAGGGTTGGAAGTTTAAAGTGAGGGTCATCAGTGGTGCCAAGCATTTTCACCCACAGGCAAATATTTTGGCAACCAGGAGTCACGGCCGACTTTCAGGAGATACGTCAGTTAACCATTAGTGATGTAACTGGGACCTTTGTCAGGGGGGACCAGCCTACCCTCATTGAAGGGGCTCTGAGGCTTTCTAATGACTCAAATCTAGAAATTGGTTGAGGGGTCACAATTCTGTTGGGATGATTCATGTCAGAATTCTATTAATCAGACCCAGCAGGTGGTATGTCTATTTCAGTTCTAGAGATACCAAAGATTTCTGTGGGTCAAACCACTGTGATCGCCCCGGTGGCTCTGCTGCCCATTACAGTAATGGTGCCAGCCTTGTGTCTGTGAATAAGGTTGCCTGCCACCCTGGCATTTCTATCCTCATGAATTTGGCAGTCCAATTCAGTGACTGCAGTTCCCACGGTTGTTCCTGGCCTGCAGAGAAGAGCCAACCTACCCTCTTCTATCTTCTGGTAGATATGTAAATTTATATCAGCCTTGGATTCTTCTGGCAGGTACAGTTAGGAATGGGTGAACAGGTCTTTTTTTTTTTTTTTGAGGCAGAGTCTTGCTCTGTTGCCCAGGCTGGAGTGCAGTGGTATAATCTTGGCTCACTGCAACCTCCTGTGTTCAAGTGTTTCTCCAGCCTCAGCCTCTTGAGTAGCTGGGACTACAGGTGTACACCACCATGCCCAGCTAATTTTTGTATTTTTAGGAGAGACAGGGTTTCACCATGTTGGCCAGGCTGGTCTTGAACTCCTGACCTCAAGGGATTCGCCTGCCTCGGCCTCCTAAAGTGCTGGGATTACAGGCATGAGCCACCATACCCGGCCCGAACAGGTCTTAAGTAATAAGTCCACTCTACAATTCTGATTTCCTAAGCCTCTGGATCTTGTCTTTTAAAGTTTGCTGAGGAAGTGCCAGCCTTTCAACGTCAGTCAGTAAAGGCCACTTTTGTTCCTGTGTTTCAGGAAGTGGCCTGTACAGACGTTTAGAGCCAGTCTCAACTGCTCACATTAACACGCTGAATCCAGGGTCTCTGCTCGGCATACATGTGTCAACAAATTTGGCTTAATCTGGAATATTCCTTCCACCTGGATCTAACATCATGGGGATTCATTCCCAAACATGTTTTCCAGGATACTGTGGATAAAGTTCACGGTCTTTTGGTCCTTCTGGTGTGTACGGTGTCTCCCCGTGGGTTACTCTTTGTGACCTTACTCCTGAGGCCTGCCAGGACTTGAGCCCGGTCGGAGGTCTAGAAGCAATGGGAGGCAGTTGGGTAAGGTCAGAGGAGAATTGGTCCCCTGCAAGGTAGCGACCTCAGTGGAGACCATGACAAGTTTCTCAGGCACAGGAAGACCTCAGAAAAAGGAAGCTTGGATGAGGAAGAAGCACTATTTCCACTGACAAAAAAGGCTTGGCAGAAATGATCTCACATTTTCAGGGGCCCAATCCATGCCCTGGTTTTAACATATAAGATTTTTGAAAGGTTGTGAATTCAATGTGCTTTGTCATTCAGCAGTCCTTAGGATTGAATTTAGGATTGTTTTTCAGAGATTTTGGCTACAGAAGACAAGAGATCCTTTAGGGAAGGCCTGGAAACTTCGTGTTGTTCTTTCCCCAGACTTTGAGCTGAGGATTAGAAGCCCCAATCTCTTCATTTTCTTTTGCTAAGTTCTGCACTGCTCTTAAAAGCAACCAACTCCATTAGAGTCCTTATTTTCACCAAAAGCATTATAGCAGCAACTACTTGGTCCCCTAAAGCCTTGTCTTTCAGACACTTGATTACAAATTACAATTTAGTGAATATTTTGCCCTTGCATGTCACAGGCTACCAATGTCCCTTGGCTATCGTCACAGGGCGATTAGTACCTTTACATCTAATCAGATCAGTGAACCAATTCTAGATAAGCCAGTTCCAAGTCTAAGAATTGATCTTTAAAGTTCTGTTTCCCAGAAACCACTGCCAGCCCCAACACGTGCATCAGAGAAGCAGAACCACCGTGAGTGATGTGCATTTGGGATCATCTCTTATGGCAATTGGGCTGTATGCAATCATGGAAGCTGATGAAGACATCTTGGAAGGCTGTAGCCTCTGTGTTCGATAGCAGGGGGTCTATTCTAAGTCAGCAGGACCAGAAATTAAGAAAAGCAAGACATGAATGAAGCACAGGAAATTGAGGACGAACTGGAAACTGTGAAGACAAACTAAACCCACAAGGACAAATGGTCAGTTGTGTCTGTCTCTCACCACCTGCAACCTGGATGACATGGGTGACCTGAAGTAGCCGGCGTCCTTTGCTGTGGAGCTGTGCGGTGCTTGACTCAGGACACGGAGAAGCTGGAGGGGGAGGTCCAGCAGGAGGAGGAGGCCCCAGGCCAGCCCCTGAGCCAGCAGATTGCACTAGTGTGGGACCTCTGAGTGGTAGCCTGCAGGTTTGATCCTGCCTCATATATCTCACATCTATTTCTCCGGTGGCCAGACCTAAGCCAGAACCACACAAGTAAGGAAATTCTCAGACTTGTAGTTTAACCTAGCTATGTTGTCACATTACAAAAACATATTTTTCTGGCTGTTTCTAAAAGTATGGCATGAGCATGTTAGGATGTGGAGACGGGAATCAAATCAGCTGGGTGCAGATCCCAGCTCTGGTCCATGCTGGCTGGGCAAACCTGGGTGGGTTTTTACCCTGAGTCTCTGCCTCTTCCTCTCTAAGTGAGGGAGCAACCACAAGTAGGCCAGAGCCCGCCTGAGCCATGAATGAGATCCCAGTAAACACCGGGCGAGGTGCCTGGTATGCAGCCAGGACCCCAGCTTTCTATCAACCGTCGTGGTCAGATTATTTGGGGATGGTCAAGAGTGATTTAGAAAATAGTGGAATGTGGATCTGGTTTCAAAATGCAACAATTTCAGCCAGGCGCGGCAGCTCACGCCTGTAATCCCAGCACTTTGGGAGGCCGAGGCAGACGGATCACCTGAGGTCAGGAGTTCAAGACCAGCCTGGCCAACATGCTGAAACCCAGTGTCTACTAAAAATTCAAAAAATAGCCAGAAGTGGTGGCGGGCACTTGTAATCCCAGCAACTCGGGAGGCTGAGGCAGGAGAATTGCTTGAACCTGAGGTGGAGCCGAAGTTCGCACCATTGCACTCCAGCCTGGGCGACAGAGCAGGACTCTGTCTCAAAACAAAATAAAAACAAAAAAAGCACAAAATGCACCCATTTGAAGTCTAGTCAAGAAGCTTCCTGGTGGATTTGGTATCTTTTATCTGGCCTTCCAATACCCAGAATTCTTCTGGATAAGACTGTAATACTGGTTCTCGGTGCCCCACTGTCTTGTCTGGCCTTGGTGTCTGGCGTGCTGTTTCCCAGCACATGCTAGGAGTGCCTCTCTCCTCCTCCCAGGCCCTGGCTCCTGTGGTCACTTCCTCCCAGCTTCTGTCTGCTCAGGCTGTTGTTCACTGTTCAGATTTTCCAAAACGTAGCAGCCCTGCATCCTGGGCCCATGATGGGGAGAACAGGAACCTGAGCAGGTGACCTCAGTGAAGACCCCTGAGCTGGGAGAACATGGTCCCCTATGGAGGGTGACAGCAGCTGCTGCCTCCCATCACTGCTGGTCCCTACGGGGGCCTTTCACAGAGAGTCAGCCTCTCCAACAGGGGAGCAGGAGGGGCACGGGGAGGAGGAGAGTGGAGAGAAGAAGGGGGAGTATTCCTCTTAGCTTCCTTGTTTCCCCTAGCCAGGACTGGGTTCCTGGGCTCTGAAGAAGGGAGAGGCGGGTAGCTGTGGCGATTTCTGGCCGCTCACATGTGTGGAACCGCATGGATAGTCACACCACAACTCACCTGTGTGATGGAGGGAAGAGTAGTTTATTAGTTTGGAATTAATGGCTTGTCTCAGTGATGGAGTCTTTTTTTTTTTTTTTCTTATGGAGGACAGGAAGGCTGTGAGGAATATTTTATGCACAGTAAGGCTGTCTACTCTCTGTGTCGAGTTGAAGAAGAAAAATGGAGAAACTCAGCCTCGTAAGAGTTCCCTTCTCCCAGAGGCCGGGAACATCCATGTGTGTAGTGCTTTTGATTAGATCTGCTGTTTTGCCCATGGCTGTTATCCATAAAAACACTCTTCTCATACACATCATTCAAGCCTCTATACACGATGCAGTTGCTCCTTTCTTTCCTTTCTTTCTTTTTTTTTTTTTTCCCATCAAAGCCAAACAGGGTGGTGTTTTTCCTTAGTAAAACCCCTCTTCTTTTTGGCTCTATGCCTGGCTCTTCCCAAGGTGCTTGGAAAGAAAGGAAAAATTCAGAATCATTTCCTTTTGTTCTTGACTGATTCATGGGTGGAGGGAGGAAGGGGTGGTTTTCCGTTTGAAACACAGAACGATGTTGAAGCAATTTTCACAAACGGTGTTCACGAATCTGGATCGTGTGGCACTGCCCCATCAGTTGCAGGTTCTTTTTTTTGTTTCTTCTCCTTTTTCTTTTTCTGCTTGTCTTTGAATGTGCAGCACCCAGCACAGTGCTTGGCACAGAGCAGGTTTCTGGTGATTGTCGACCACAGACTGTTGATGGTACACTCGATCCTGTGTAGCACACAGGGGCTCTTGCATGGAGCAAAGTGCTTATTAATACACATGTAAATTAAACACAACATGTGTGGCTACACTTTTCTACTTCCAAAGCTTTATTCATGGAGTGCTGTGGCATAAATCAGTTTCAACTTTGCTCAGCCCCAAACAAGAGTTATGTAGGAGCAGAAAAATCAAACCAGTGCTTTCTTAATTATAGTAGTGGTTTGAAAGCAGTTATTGACCTGTAGAGTCTCATTATTTGTCTTTCTGTCCATCCATATATCCATGTGACTAACACAGTCAAGAGGTCAGATAGGAATACAGCCAGAAATATGGTGCCTCTAATGTAACTGATAAGAATCTGAATTGGTGTGAATCTCTGTCGCGGGGGTCTACTTCCAGCACCCGATAAAACCAAACCAGCAGCCCTGGGAGGGAAGCCCTTCTGTTCGATGGTTCTGCTAACGTCATCATGTGAAAAAAAGGGATATGCTCTTATGAGTATATTTTGTGAAACCGAGAAAATAAAAGACAAAAAAAATGGCTGAAAAAAAAAATGTACCATCGTACACGTTTCTTAAAAGGAAAAGTCATTCTGTTCTCCCAGCCAGTGCAGACTTGCTGCCTTAAAGGAGAAGCCTGTTAAAAGAACATATTTGTGTGTGGAACAAGGTCATGCACTTATTGGTTTTCTGCTGCACAGCATAAATATACCAGACAAGGAGAATCAGTTTGCTTTTACTGTAGCCTTGTACTGTGCACAAAGGCTGCAGCACATATATATTTTCTAATGCTGGCAGTGCCAAAGTACAGAGGAACCCAGAGTCAGGGGTTTCAAAATTAGAGGAGAAGAGCCAAGCGTTTGCTGCAAGAAATAAATATATTACCTGGAAAAACCCCCCACTCTGGTCTTTTTATCATTCCTTTTTTTTTTTTTTTTTTTTTTTGTTTAACAGACAGGGGTCTCGCTATGTTGTCTAAGGGTTGGCCTCGAACTCTTGGGCTCCAGCGATCCTCCCACCTCGCCTCTTGAATAGCTGGGACTACAGGTGTGCACCTGGCTTCCAGCGTCACATTCTGAGCAGTCAGTGACTGTGGTAGGAAGTGGCTGGGGTAGCCTGGGTCCTCCACGTCTCTGTGAAGCTGTTCCAGAGACAAATGACTTCTACGTTTCTCAGGTTCTCCCTTCTCTCCTGCACCAATTTGTCCAGCCATTGCAGTTTGACTAATGTTGCTCATCTCCATTGTGCTGCTCTCTTATTACTATTACTAATAAGGTAACACTTCATTCATCCAGCCTCATCCGGGGTTAGTGTTCCACATAACTACATTTTCCAGCCCACTGACATCACTTCTTTGAGCGTCAAACTTTAGTTTGTTTTCATCATTCTGAATGGCGATTTTCCTAAAATGTTTTAAACTCTTGCCTTCTCGAATGGCTTCCACACACATGATGTAGCCTTATCTCAGGGATTAGGGGGCATCTTTACATTTACTGGTTTTGCTGTGCTGTAAAGCAGGGCTGTCCCTCCAGGCCATGGCGTTACCTAGGACTGCTTGGCTATGCTGAATGGCTCAGATCATTCGCTGCTCATTCTGAGCGAGGGCAAGTTATTTACCTCTCTTAGAATCAACTTCTTTACCTATAAAAGAGGGGCAGTAGTGCCTACCTCATTGGGCAGATGGGTGAATTAAATGAAATTACACTTATCAGGGTGCGTGGCCATGGCAACTGTTCAGTATGAGTGAGCCATTCTTATTTAAAGTGAGGAATTCCATCAGTCATCACCACTACAACAGTAGTGCAATAATGATGGCATTGGCATATATGCATGGAACACTTTAAAGACGTATACGGATATTTTCTCCAGCATAGTTTAATACAGTTTACTTACAACCTGGGAGGGCCCTCCTGCCTGATCAGGGAAGCCTGGGAGTGGGTCAGCCTCTGTCTCTTCCTTTCTCTTCCAGAATGGTGCCCCAAACACTCATCCATGGTCTTCTGCCAGTTCGAGCTGAGGTTCCCCAGGAAAGCTTCCTTCCTCTTTTTGATCTAACTTGCATCTGACCCACTTTTGTGCTTAGCATCCCTTCAGCCCCCTGTGCTCCATTTGTTCTGTGTCAATTTCTGTTTGTAGATAGGTTGCTTTGGCAGGTGTTCTTGGATGTGAAGTGGACTGTGGTTCTGTGGGCTTCATTAAGTCAAGGCATCCTAATGCCCATCCCAGCCACCCAGTATCCTTGTGGGCATGTTGTCTGGGATGCATAGAATGGAAAGGATGATGACAGATTTGTAATCAGCCCTGATGGGAGGGGAGGGTAGAGTCTGACACACACAAAGGGCCCAACGAGAATGGAAGTGGTCAGCGCTGTGGCTCCAAGAGACAAGCTGTCTCCATCCACCTGGGGAGACTGCCCCAGGACCAGGCTATTGGTGGCACCAAGGCTGAGTGAGTGGATGGGTCTTGTGGGGGCTGCACTTCCACCGTGTGGGGAGTACTGCTTATCTCCCAGCTCCTGGAGGCTGCCTTTGGGCTCTGTGCAGCCCCGGACTTCTCTGCTGCCAACTCCTTTGACCTTACTCAGGAGGTTCCTGCCTCCTTTCGCTCAGGCCCACTCCTCCCTCCTGAGCTGTTTCCTTGAACTGGCTACTGAGCTTGACATGTAATTGATGGTGAAAGCTGACTCTATCCAGAAGTGAAGCTCAGTTTCTTAACTTCCAACTAGAATCTAGACTTAGTCATCCCTGGAGCCTCTTTACATTCCATTCGCTCCACCAACAGCACAACTAACTTTCTGTTTCCAGCATCCTCTCCGGGGTGTTCCCATTCACTTTCTCCTCCTTTGGGGAGCCATGTCCCTTGTTCTTCTGCAGAGCAGAGGTGATGACATCCAGGAGCCCAGGGTGCGAGTTCTCCCAGAGAGTTCTGCTCATGGCTTTCAGAGATGTGGCCCTCCTGGGTGGTGTCACTATTGCTTTGGAACAGGGAAAGAACTACAAGAACAACAATTTCAACTCACAGTGAGAGAAGATGGCATTTCTTTCACATACCATCTTACATAATAAATGTGTTTCTGAAAAGTGTATTATTGAAATGATATAAGTAAAATCATGTTTAGAGAGAGCTAGGCCAGTTGTTCACAAACTTGTTTAGATGGTAGTATAACTAGAAGTCTTGATGTTCTTTCCAGTATAAACCCCTTACACAGAGACACGTTCAGTAACATCACGTGAGTCAGGGACAACTTTACCAGCAGAAGGTATGACTGTACCATATAAGTGCAATATAGAATCACAAGCATGAAATCCTCCCCCAAAATCAGGTTATCAAGGGTGACATGATTGGTTCTTTTTTTTAAATAATTGCTTAGTACATGTTTGTTTGCTTCTTTATCAACCCTTCCTTAAGAGCAGATAAGTGGTACAAGTACCAAATGTTTAAGAAAAATATATGGGAGACAAATTTAAATGGTTAAAACTACATTCAGTAGTCTGTTTTTCTATGCATTGGAAATTCTGCCTTTTTTTCAGTTTTAGTGGTCAAACACTTTTGTTCAGCTTATGGGCAGTGTTTGGCACTTTGTTTTGAAAGTTTCTGCCGTAAGAGAACTCAGCCTTGGTTTTCTCTCTGTAAAATGGGAATAGTAATCGAACCTACCACACACGATTATTGTGAGGATGAAATGACATAATGTAGGAAAATCATATATGAAGAGTGTTTGGCTGAAAACAAGGGCTCAGTAAATGGTAGATATTGTTTATAGCCTAGACTGTAATTCTTAATAATTTAACTAAGACATTTAAAAATTATACAAACATTTTGGTAATAACATGTACCAACTTACACTACTTATGGCACAGTGCACACTGTAAATATGGGTAAAAGTAGTTGTGTGTGTAAGCGTTCAGGCCATGGTAAGACGGCCCTTGGAGAAACAATTCAATTAGGACATTCCGTATTGGTCCACAGGAGCTAACTAGGTGAAAGCGGGTTTATAAGAGCAGGATTCTTGGAGGGCCTATGGTGACTGGCACTATGGTGTTTGGTTGAACTACCACAGTGGACGACCATACTGGCGAAGAACTGCAGTGGGATTGTTCTTGTGACCTTTGATTCTATAAATGCAAAGTTTCAAGGAAAAAAAGCAGCAAAGGGAGAAGAGAATTAAACATTTTGGGTAGTGAGCTGGCAGCTAATGGTGGGAGACATTGCTGATTTCCTCCCTTACCGCCTTCTCTCCCTCCCTTTGTTCGGTCCTCCCTCTCTTTTCTTCTTTCCACCATCTCTCTGCACTGCCCTCCCTTTAAAAAATAAGACACAATTTTTATAGGAAAGGATACACTTTCCCCCCTTAAAATCTTCCCTAGGTACTTTTCTTAGGTATATTTATTGCTCTAGTCTTGTAAATGGGTCATGCATTTACTGGCTTTTTAAAAGGGAAATTTGTCCTTGATTCTAAATCTTCCGTTTATCTTCAAGAAGAGGCTAAATGCTTGCCACAGCTCCCACCTCTTCTTCCTTGATGTGATTTTTACATTTACTTCCCCTCAAAAACCACCTCATTTTCTGCCACTTCCCATAAGGCAGTCAAGCTGGTAACTATATTTTGATACTACTTACCAACCACCAGATAGAAGCCCTGACAATGATTACTGAAAATAGCAGCTAGGAATGGACGAGCATTTTCTTTCACCTTTCAGTCTCTTTACACCAGTTGTCTCCAAACTTCTTTTGAGTCTGTGCCTCTATTAAAAAGAATACTGTAAATTCCAATGCAGAATTTCCCAATCAAATTGTTTCTCCAAGGGCCATCTTACCGTGGCCTGAACGCTTATACACACCTTTGATTCTGTGCCTCTATTAAAAAGAATACTGTAAACATACAATGTATACATATGCGTGCTTTAGATATAGTACATATGTAAGTGTACTTATGCATAGTTGTATTATGCATATCATGAAACATACATAAAATATAAGTAAATGGGATGAGACATGTGAGATAGATAATATGTTAAACATTAATTTATTTTATCTTATTTTAATGGTCGTGATGGTTAATTGCATGTGTCAACTTGACTGGGACACAAGGTGCCCAGGTATCTGGTTAAACATTATTCTGAGTGTGTCTGTGGGGGTGTTTTCATATGAGATTACGCTTGAATGGGTAGACTGAGTAAAGCAGATGGCGCTCCCTGGTGTGGGGGGCTTCATGCAATCCTTTGGAGGCCTGAATAGAGCAAAAGGCGGAGTAAGGGAGAATGCGCTCTCTGAGCCTGACTGTTGGGCTGGAACATTGGTCTTCTCCTGCCCTCAGACTGGGACTTATACCAGGGGTGCTCCTGGATCTTAGGCCTTCAGATATGGTCTGAGTTATATCACCAGATTTCCCATGTCTTCAGCCTGCAGATGGTAGATCATGGGACTTTTCAGCTGCCGTAAGTGCATGAGCCAATTCCTTACAATGTCAGTCTCTCTCTTTCTCTCTCTATATGCGCACACACACACACATACACACACATACACACACACACACACACACATATAAGGACCCAGACTAATACCATGGTATGAATAATTTTTGCTGTCATTAAATATCTCAAAACCCCCAAACCCCAGATACCTTTGGGGTAACTTTCACTGGCCTTTGAGGATCCTCATATGCACCTGGACCTGATATAAATGATGAGATTCTAGACTTTGAATGGAGGCTGTGATGAGATGAAACTTTTGGGACACTTTAGAGGGAGCGAGTGTATTTTGCATGTAGGAAGGATGTGAATTATTAGGGGTCAGAGGGTGGACTATGGTAGCCAGTCTTCAAGGTGGCCCTTGTGGTCCTCACCTCCTGGTATACTCCCTTCCCATACTACATCTGGGTTGGTTTGTGTGACCAACAGAGTATGGTGAGAGTGATAAGTGATGGTGCTGACTTCTTTCTTTTTTTTTTTTGAGAAGGAGTCTTGCTCTGTTGCCCAGTCTGGAGTGCAGTGTGGTGATCTCGGCTCACTGCAACCTCTGCCTCTGAGGTTCAAACAATTATCCTGCCTTAGTTTCCTGAGTAGCTGGGACTGCAGGCATGCACCACCACGCCTGGCTAATTTTTGTATTTTTATTAGACATGAGGTTTCACCATATTGGCCAGGCTGGTCTCGAACTCCTAACCTCATGTGATCCACCTACCTTGGCCTCCCAAAGTGCTGGGATTACAGGCATTAACTGCCATGCCTGGCCCGATGGTGCAGACTTCTAAGGCTAGGACTTTGCCACTTTTGCTTTGCTCTCTTGCAACACTCAGTCTGGGGGAAGCCAGCTGCCATGTTGTGAGGAGACTCAAGCAGCCTGATAGGGAGGCTCACGTGGTGAGGAATTCAGACCTCTTCCCAAAAGCCAGCACCAAGTTGCCAGCCAAACGAGTGAATCTTGGAAGTAGCTCCTTTAGTCCCAGTCAAGCCTTCTTATGACTGTAGCCTTGGCCAACATCTTCACCACAATCTCACGTGAGAGTCTAAGCTGGAATCACTTGGAGAAGTTGCACCCAAATTTTGACCAGTAGAAACTGTGTGAGATACTAAGTCCTTATTATTGTTTTAAGTCACTAAGTTTTGCAGTGATTTGTTTTACAGCAATAGATAACGAATACAGATATGAATATTTTTGTGGACTGCTTTTCTGATATGATTAATTTTTCCATTGTTTTTGTCTTTTATGTGACTTACAAATGTCACACTAGGACTTGGAGAAGTGTTGGTTCTGTCATGTTTGTGTTGTTCATTTTATTCATTTGTGATTGTATTGTTGGTATTGTCTTCAGTCTGAGGTTTCTTTGTGGAAATCTTTTAAGCTACTTCTCTGTATTTTGGATGTTACATACAAACTAATGTACTACAAGGCACTGAAAGTGATGAAAGACTGAGGACCACTGGCTGTGCTTGGATGGCTCTTTTCCCTCCAATTCTTTCTGTACCATGTGATCTCATGCTCTGACATCAGATTGAGTGAGGCCACCAATGTCAACCTGTGTATTAAATATTAATAGATTAGTGTCTTTCTGGCTTTCTTTTGGTGGGGTGGATAAAAATCATAAAATAAAAGTACTAACATTTCTCCCCCACCACATCCCAAGGCTCATCTTTGCTTTGTTTTGTTTTGTTTTAGTTTGTTTTGAGACGGATTCTGCTCTGTTGCCCAGGCTGGAGTGCAATGCCCTGATCTTGGCTCACTGCAACCTCCGCCTCCCAGGTTCAAGCAATTCTCCTACCTCAGCCTCCTGAGTAGCTAGGACTTCAGGCGTGTGCCACCATGCTGGCTAATTTTTTGTATTTTTAGTAGAAATGGGGTTTCACCACATTGGCCAGGTTGATCTCAAACTCCGGACCTCAGGTGATCTTCCTGCCTCGGCCTCCCAAAGTACTGGGATTACAGGTGTGAGCCGCTGTGCCCAGCCCAAGGCTCATCTTTAAAGACCACTGTTTTAGAGCAGGGGTTGGCAAAGTACTGGCTGTTTTTATAAAAGTGTCATTAGGACACAGCAACACACCTTTGGTTATGTATTATCTTGGCTGCTTTTGTGCTACCATTGCAGAGTTGGGCACATGCAACACACGATGTGATCGTCAAAGCCCAAACTATTTACTATATGCCCCTTTACAGAAGGTCACCACTGTTGTTTTAGAAAATAAATGGAGCTTGAGGGTGCTTAGCATCAACTCACTTGTTCCCTCATGCAGGGGCAGGCAATATGCAGTACAAAGTCATCCAGGGAATTCTGGGAGAACAAAGTTCTGTGTCTGCCTTGGGAGTGAAATTCTGGCCTGGGGCTTTGATTCTCCCAGACTGTATCCTAGAACCCAGTTACAACTTGAACTTTAAGGGAACCAATAGCAATATGGCAATGCAAGTAACTGGGTGGATCTGAACCAGGGCATCTTATATGGCTGATGGAACACATCCTTCTCCTTTCTTTCGACTATGTATATCCTAAACCATAATCCAAAAGCTCGTACTCCTTTCTTTTCTCAGAGCCCTTGTCCTCAACTCTTCTTCCCTTTGGATTGCTCTTCTCAAAGATCTTGGCTTGACTGGCACCTTCTCATTTAAGCTCAGCTTAAATGCCAACTCTATAGAGAGACCTTTCTGGATACCTAGTCTAAGGTGGTCCCAATGACAGCCCCATTACTCTCTATCTTATGTTCTGTATTATTTTTTTCCTTATATTTATCAATATCTGAAATTATTTTATTTATGCCTATTTATTATCTTCTAGATAACAAACTACTAGAATGCAAGAACCAGAAGAAGAAAGACCTTGTCTGTCTCATTCGTAACTGTATTTCCAGGGCTTAAAAATAGTGCCTGATCCAAAGTTTGAATATTTGAGAATGAACAAGAGGAATGCCTGATATTATTTTGTGTCTGGCTGTAGAATGGGTGTTGCATCCTGGGTCATAAATCATACAATTGGCTTGGAAAAGGTCTGGCCTGAATAAAACGTGTTGCTTTTATTTTCCACGCTCTGGATTCGTCACCAGTATCAATTAGACCAGTGTTTAACCCATGCAATGATGTTCTTTTTGAAAATTGTAATGATGGTCTATTTGCTTATTCCTGTAATTCCTATTTAGTTTGTCCTTTATTCTTTAATGCTACTTCTTCCTTCTCCGTCTCCTAACCTCCTCAGTCTTCTGTTCTTTTATTACGGTTTATAGATGATCTTTTGTGTCTTGGGTAGGAATGTTTGCTTTATCTCTCTCGGCGAACACATTTTTTTTCATTTGCTGCCTCTGCCGATTATTCCACAGTGACTCATTTCCCTATGTGGCTTGTCATCTTTGCGCATGAGCTCATCTTCAGTGGGGATTAATTTTCTGGGGTGACATGGGATCCCGACCGTGCTCTTGTCTAGATATTCTTGTTTTCCATTTGCTCTTCTGTGGGGCCCAGAGGTTTCCTTGGTTCTGTACCAGTTTTCTTTTTAATTTTTAAATTAAAGTTTACCATCTTAACAATTTTTTGTTTTTGAAACAGGGTCTTGCTCTGTCACCCAGGCTGGAGTGCAGTGGCACAATCATAGCTTATTGCTCCTTCAAAGTCTCTGGGCTCCAGCAGTCCTCCCACCTTGGCCTCCCAAAGTGTTGGGATTACAAGTATGAGCCACTGCACCTCGCTCAACTTAAAAATTTTTAAGTGTATAGTAATGTTCAGTAGCATTAAGTATATTCATGGTATTATGCAATCAATTTGCAAAACTTTTTCATCTTAGAAAATGGAAACTTTATACCCTTTAAACAGTGACTCCCTGTTTTCCCCTCTCCCCAGCCCCTAGCCACCACCATTCTGCCTTCTGTCTCTATGAGCTTTAACTACTCCAGTTACCTCATATAAGTGGAATCACACAGTATTTGTCGTTTTGTACCTGGCCTATTTCAGTTAGCATAATGTCCTCAAAGTTCATCCATGTGACAGCATGTGACAGAATCTTCCTCCTTTTTGAGGCTGAATAATATTTCTTGTATGTATATACCACATTTTATTGATCAGTTCACCCACTGATGGACACCTGAGTACTTGTGTCTACCACCTTTTGGCTATTGTGAATAATGCTGCTATGAACATCGGTGTTCAAACATTTATTTGAGACCCTGCTTTCAATTGTTTTGGATATGTTTACAGAAGTGGGATTGCTGGATCAGTGCCTGTCTTAATTTCTTGGTTGGGGTTCTCTCCTCATGTAGGTAATACAGATGTGAACACCACACATGTGTGTAGCAGGCACTGGCTTCAGCTTCCTATGGGTGAGGCTTCCTACCCCTTGCACTATGGCAAGCTCCCTTGCTGATTCTCTAAACCAAGGCACCGACTTTCTAAGCTCAGTGTCACCACCTAGGCACAGCTTCATGGCTTCCAGTTTAAACAGGAGTTTCGTTTCAGCTTTTCTGTCTTGTACAGGCCCAAGGCCTCATCTCCTTTTGCTGTACAGGCGTTAAAACTTGAGTCCCACGCCTGTTAGGCCTGTATCTGTTTACAACGCCCCTGTCATCTGTTTGGCTTCAGCTTGCACTCACCTCTTTTTCTTTGAGTTGTTCTTTTTTCCTGACATCAGGGAATTTTCTTTCCTTGCTTTTGAGTATGCATTAAAAAATAGTTTATTCAGCATTTTCAGTGTTTGGGGTGTGTGTGTGTGTGTGTGTGTGTGTGTGTGTGTGTATGTGTACGTACTTTCAGTTCTGTTTGAGCTGTGGTGCCAATAGATATTTATTTGTTCATTCAAGATTTTCTGACCGTTTATAGCCTACACAATGATAAGCCTAAGATGACTAAATAGTAATCTTCTGAACTCTTGTAACTCGGGAAGATGTTAAATCATAATACACTAACAGGCAAGATATAGATGTTGCTGTGCAATTGTGGCAGTGGAATCCATTTTTAGCTTGAATCCCAAACAGAAAGGTTGTCTTCCTACTAAAGCTGCACAATGAGCCCCTCCTCAAGCCGTGCCCTTGTGAAACCAGGTTCAGAGTACAGAGACCCGCGGGACCAGAGCTCTGAGCAATGAGGTTGCAGACAAGACCTGGAGCCACACACACCAGAAGAAAGGGGAGTCTTCCTGTGTCAATCAGCAAGAACAGGCAGGCATTTTTGCAACACGCATTATAAAATAGCCTACGTTGCAGAGACGTGGCCTTGTTAATTACTATTTAATATACATGTAACAAGCATATCAGCAAAGATCAATAATTTTCTGCAGATAAGAAAAAGGCCAGTGAGACTTTCGCTGGTGTTATTTTTGTCTGCGTCTATTGGTTTCAGTGTTGCCAGCTTCTTCCTTTCCAAATCCAGGCTATATGAGACAGAAAGAAAACCCAGAGAACTCAACACTCTCATTGTTTGAGTCCCAAGTCCCCCATTCAGTCTACCTCCTTCCATCCACCTTTCAAAGTCTTCTTATGTTTGATTTATATACATATATAATGTCTAGGGTTTTTAGTTGCAATTAGTGGGAGAAATAGGAGAAGTACACCCTATCTTCTTGGTGGATGATTTTTTTAAAAAAAATAAACTTGTGTTATTTTACTGCAATCATTACATTACTATATGCTTATTAACATCTTTATAATATAGAAATGATGAAATTGAGAGTAACAATTGGGCTGGGTAAGATTGTGAAGTAGGTGAAAGAAACAAACACAGTTCAGGCAAGAATATGGGATTAGCAAAGCTGCTTTTTATTTCACTATAACTTTAGACACTTTGTGTTCACATTTTTTTTCTGCAACAAAAATTTTCTTTTCTTTTCTTTTTTTTTGAGACAGAGCCTTACTCTATCACCCAGTCCGGAGTACAGTGGCGTGATCTTGACTCACTGCAACCTCTGCCTCCTGGGTTCAAGTGATTCTCATGCCTCAGCCTCCTGAGTAGCTAGAATTACAGGCACCTGCCACCACGCCCGGCTAATTTTTGTATTTTTAGTAGAGAGGTGGTTTCGCCATGTTGGCCAGGCTGATCTCAAACTCCTGGCCTCAAGTGATCCACCCGCCTTGGCCTCCCAAAGTGCTGGGATTACAGGCAAAAATTTTCAGTTTTATAAAGAAAGATGAATAGAGATGAACTTTCTTTTAAGAAAACCTGTTAAGTGTGAACCCGGGCGGTGGAGCTCGCAGTGAGCCGAGATTACGTCACTGCACTCTAGCCTGGGCGACAGAGCGAGACTCCGTTTCAAAAAAAAAAACAAACGACAAAAAAAAGAAAACCTGTTACGTGTAGATTTGAATTTACAAAGTGGATAGATAAGGATGTGATTCTGAGTTTTACTCCGAGTCACCCCAAATTTTTCAGGAACTCAAGTGTTATATAAAGTTAACTCAGAACAATTTTACTTGATTATCACTCTGGGATTCTTGGCATGAGTAGAATTCACGTCAATAAGTACAGTAAAGCCCTGTTTTGAAAGTGCTTTGCTATCACAGATTATATTACAGTAGGGTCAAATCATTTTCCACGTATAATCCCTGATATATGACTTGAGTAAAACAACGCATGAGGCAAATATTGTTCTTGCATTCTGATACCAGTGTCACAATAGGGTTCTACTGAATTATTAGTAAAAACATGTTCAGTGAGATTTCTTGCCCTGGATGTAAACTTCAGCCAGGCACTGATGCTTTTCCCATTAGCATCATTATGCTGAACGTTACTGTAATGGTATTCTACTGTCACACAACACTGGGGTCTAAATGAGTTTTTCCTAAAACAGGCCTATTCACAAGGTGAGCCTGGCCATCTCACACCATTTCTTTCATGCCTCTGTTTTGGCAGACATTTCCCCATCTTCATTCATCTTCCTGCAAGAAACAACTCCAATTCACACCATGAATTGTAATGTTAACTATACTGTACAGTGGTTTATTTAAAAGCCAGAATCTATGTTGTTTGATAGCCAAACTTACAGTGGGGGAAGGGCAGACAACCCAGTCATCAAAGGATAAAAATCTATACTAATCTTAAAAGCAAAACACAGTGTAGTATTTCTTGTCTATTTTTCTACAAAAGAAGGCCATTGTATTTCTGTTCCTGGCCATGTCAGCAGTGATGGTCCACCCCACAACGGCCCCCACCAGTTTTTTTCAAGCATTGATTGTTGACTTCCCCTGACACCCCATCACAACCCATTAGTACTGAAAACTGACAAGCCCAGCTGCAGCAGCAAAATGGCAAGTTTGAAAGAAAATATCGAAAGCACAGGCAAAGCCCAGCTCTTAGGGACCCGCACGAGACCCAAATGCAGTGACTCCTCCCCGCCCCCACGACACCTTCGCGGAGGTCAGCAGAATCAGCAGATTTTCTTTAACCCACACTCCAAGGTCTTGAGGAAATTATAAGGAGTATTGCTTTATTTTTACTTTCATTTTCAAAGGAACTGAGTTGAGGAATATGAAAACAGAGTTGGCTAAAGTGCTTTTGCTGAGAAAGCTAATATACATTATGTCTCTTTTCAGACTCAAGCGTTTCAGGCGTTAGTGGCTCAGCAGTCCTGGGCTTCTGAAGGCCACACTTTAAACCCTGGCAGCTTCTTAAGTTATGAGTCTTTTTCTTCTTTTTATTCAGCAGAGTTTTATGGTGCCTGTGTTCCGAGAGTTACAGTAATAGCAATCGCGAACATTCCTTGTGATTGTACAGTTGATTGCCCAGGGGAAAAAGGTGACAACTCTAGATTTCCAATAGACCTTGTATTTGCAGAGCTATGAGTTCAAGCAAGGCCAGACAACTTGTTGAAATCTTAAGAGCCAAGACACAAGGTGAATCTAACTTTAGCTAAAGAGCTGGATGTAAGTTTTGTGCAGTCAAAGCCCTGGAGATGGGGTAACTAAAAAAATGGTGACCATCATCCATTTAGGTAAAAAATCTAACTGCAAATGGTCATTGAATCAAGAACAGATAAGAATAAAGAGCCAAATGAAAAACCAGCATTAAGCAGGAGTTCCTGTGTTTTTACCCCTTGTGAGCAGAGAGGATGCAGTGCGCAAGCGTGGGCTAATGGCAGTGATGGTCTGCCTCATGGCAATGATGGTCTGCCTCCGGAATGGGCACTTGGAAGCCATTGTTTAGCACCGTTCTTGCCTGGGGATGGTAAGATGGCCTTAGGGGGAAATAAGAATGGGTCTCCTCAGTGAGTTTTATGGCCACCTCTACCATCAAGCCTATGTGTGCTTGGGCGTTACCCACTTCCTCCTTCCCCTCTGATTGTGTTTGGTGTCTTACCAAGCTGCTGATATGTTTCCTGCCTGCCCACATCCTCTAGGAGAGGTCTGGGAAGTCTGGAGTATGGGCTGCCTCTGAAGTCCTGTAGCTTAGACAGACTTGCTTGCCTGCTGCTCAGACAGCTGGTGAGCCCATAAACTCTCCCTGGTTTCCCACCAGCCCTCCGTGTTCTCTCCCTTTGGTAAAGATGGCTGCTCTGGCAGAGGAGGGGCCCACAGAGAAATCCCAGTGCTCCTAGGCTTCAGGGCCTTCCCCTGGACCTTGCTCCATCTGCCAGGGTACAGGCTGGGCCCCAGTCGGAGAGAGCTCCTCAGTGACAACCATGCAACCTGCAGACATGCAGATACACATTATAGAATGGCTTGCCTGGTGCATGTTCCAGCACCCATCCCGAGTCAGCACTTAAACCTGGAAGTTGTGGCTTCAGCTCTGCCTTTGGCTCTGAACCAACCCTTTTCTTCATCTGCAGGAGCCTCTGAGAGGACCTGGCCCTGCACTGTCCTCGGTGCTTCTAAAATGACAGCCTTGTGCTTCTCCGTCCTGTCCCCAGCATCTGCAGGACTCAGCCCCGCTGACACCACCCGAGTGCCTACTCGACTCCCTCGGATCACTTGTTCTCCCCTGACCAAGAGCAGCCCTTTGAGTTTGGGCTGGGTCTGGATCTTTGGCAGAAGATTTGACAGCTCCAACAGCTTCCTGGTTTTGGTTCATCTTTGGACTCTTGGCCCTGTGTGCCAAGTCCTCATTCGGCCATCCCGGGACTTGGTTTCATGCTCCGAGCCCAGCCCTGTGTCCACCTGCAGATGACCAGTTCAGATCGTCCGCGTTCTAGCCCATTTGGGCCACTCTTGCATCCAATCTTTCTGGAAAGCATTCTTTGGCATTATTTGGTTGCACCACACCTGACGTTGTCCTGAAGTGCCTGAGTGTCTGGTTCTTCTCCCCTATATTGGGGAAATAGGAGGGGTAGGTCTCCTCCATGGCTGCTGGGTGAGAGAGCAGGGGACAAACGCCAGAACCATGAGCAAGGGGAGAGGCTGGAGATTGCACTGGAAAGGTGGGTTTAACATGGACCACAAAGGCAAGCAGACCCTGACTGTGCATCAGGAACTGAGGCGCCTTCCCCAGAGAACGCTCAGAGAACCACCTGGGATGAAGATGGGTGTGAGATTTGCCCAGGGAATAATTTGTGCCTCAGAGGTGGTCCGGATGGAATCCAGAGAGGGTGCCAGAACTCTGGTGGTTGTTTTCCGTGCTTCTGGCCCTTATTTAAGTGAGGCAGGGCCATTTAAAGCTGCCATGATATGAAACATATTGGCTTATCATCAACAAAGATTTATTAAGTACCTCTGGCTACAAGCCTGAGCCCTTACAAGGTGAGAGAGCTGAGGTTAGAGTGAGTGTTCTGGAGTGGAAGTCGGAGGTGTGGTAGTAGCTATGCACATAGATCATGAATTTTCAAGACCCTCTGATGAAAAATCCGTTGTTCTGATTTCAAAAAAGGAGGTCACAGTAATGAAAAAATAAGGATGGAGGCAATGATTGAACCCTTACTGCATGTTAGGCGATGAGTGTCTGTCTCTCAAAGAGGAAAAAAGAAAAAAATATATATATTCTAAGTATATAGGAATATATACGCTATAAATATATATTAGCAATATATATACTATATATACTATTAGTAATATACTGTATATATTATTTATAATATATTTATATATTCTTAGTAATATTATATATTTGTATATTCCTATATATAGGAATATATATGTATATGCTCTTAGTTCTGACAAAATCTTTTGAAGCTTGCATTATTATTACTAATGGCATCTTATATTAATTGATGAGGCAACTAAGATCACAAGATTTAACTTTGATGCCTTTCACACCTAGGCCCTCCCATGGCCCCATCATGGTTCCTTTCTATTTAAGAAGCACTTAAACTAAGTTTTATTAACAAAAGTTCCAGCTACAAATGATTAAAATAGGCTTGAGGGAGACAGACACCCAGGTCCTCCACTTAGCCAGATCTGAGATACACAAGACTGACTGGAGGGAGACTTTGTAACTTGACCAGAAGATGTGAAGAACAATTTCAAGACACGTCTATTTAGGCTTTTTTCATGAAAAAAAAAAAAAAAAAGTGAAAGAATAACTCCAGTTTCCTTGGGCTGATTCTTTTGTGAAATACTTTGGTAATGATCAAGAAATGGGTTTAAAATACTGGTTGAAATATCAGATCAAATTTTCATCTTCACTGTTTGGTATTATTTTTCTAGGTCTCCACTGAGAGAAAAGAAGTATGTTAAGAAACTGGCCCAATAATTTAAATGTTTGTGTATTTCAGCGTGTCCAAAAGCAGAAAGGAATAGAGGAGGAACTACACTGATTTACACTGTTTTAAATAATAAACCAACAAAATCTGGTAAAGGATTTTTCCTAACTCTGAGTTAATGTAAATTCCACCGAAATTTGGCAAATGGGAAGCAAATCTGTGATGAGCGGACTTGGGTGGGAGGTTCATACAGCAGGATTTCTTCCCATTCCCTGGGAGTATCCGAGACTTCCGAAACCATGATCATGATGGTTCTTTGGATGCTAAGTGCTCCTGCAGGTGCGTTATTTAGTAGACCCGGGTGCGAGCACTCAGACACCTGCCAAACAAAGTTTTGGAGAAACAGGGTATCTTGAAATTTAGAAACGCTAGGATGCTTCAGGACGCCTTAGAGATGCACTGCTACCACCACGAAGAAATTTGTCATCTGAGAAGCCAGTGCCACATTCAGACACACAGGCGATGACGCCTAATTGTTTGTGATAAGTGTGGGACCAAATCCAGAAATGTGAACAGCCCTGGTCTAAGCACGCAGGACACTGTTCCCTGTCTGTCCCCACCAGCCTACCTCAAACCTGACAAGTCACCCTATTAAGACACATCCTAGCCCGGGAACCGGGCTCCGGGTTGTGGGGGCCGCGCTCGGCCCTCACCTGGAGCCCTGCGCGCAGGTCCCGTGGATCTGCGAGGCTGCAGTTCCTTAGGCTGGGCCAGGTGATCCGTCGTTAGGCAGTGAAACGCTTCCTAATGCAAAACACGAGTCAGCTGCAGGCGTTGCGCTAAAGCTCCTTTTCCATGGCAGCCTTGGCCCCACCTCCAGGGGCCCCTGTGCCTGGACCTTGCTCTCTGGCTGCCCGCCGGCCCAGCCCGGTCTCCCGCGAGCGTCACTGTGGTCATCGCACATCACCACTGTTCATAGGTAAGAGCAACAACTCCTGAGCGCCTAACATATGCCGGACGTTGGGCTGAGTTGCTTCATGCATGGGTATTACCTCCTGAAAGCTAAACTGTGAGGTGGCTGCTATTATTAACCCGTTATCCACGGAGATGTCAGGTCCCTCGCGCAAGGATGCACCAGGGGCACGGTTGAGCCAGGATCCGAACCGGGTCTGCTACACCCTTGCACCCGACCATGACCTCCAGGCTTCTCCCAAACCCAAGGCCTTTCTCGCGCCTCTCCGCAGAGGAGGGGCCCATCTCCTCACAGACACTCTTAAAATCTACCTACAACTGAACTCATCTTTCCCCTAATAATCTCCCTGAATATTTTTTTCAGTTTCCATAGACATGATGTAAAGCCGTTGCATTATCGTTGAACGTATGAAGGGGTGAGTCTTAAGTCAACCACATAGCATTTGTCTTTAGTTCATTCTAAGATGAGTCTTAGATTTGATTTGTGGTTTATGAGACAAAATGGTAAAATTTTCTTTTCTTTTTTTTTTTGTAAGAGGGAGTCTCACTCTGTTGCCCAGGCTGGAGTACAGTGGAGCGATCTCTGCTCATTGCAACCTCCACCTTCCAGGTTTAAGCAATTCTTGTGCCTCAGCCTCCCAAGTTGCTGGGACTACAGGTGCCACCACCACTCTGGTTAATTTTTTGTATTTTAGTAGAGACTGGGTTTCACCAGTTTGTGCAGGCTGGTCTCGAACTCCTGAGCTCAGGCAATCCACTGCCTCGGCCTTCCAAAGTGCTAGGATTACAGACATGAGCTACTGCTCCGGGCCAAAATGGTAACATTTTTAAATGCAATTTTTAATGGATTTCAAAGCAAATTTGTACATGACCAGAGATCATGGAAATACATAATTACATTGAAGTACACAGATTAAAAGTCGTTTACGCCTGTGGTTAATTACATATGAATTATTTGCGTGCGTGTTGTATATATACAGTCATGTGTCGATTAACAATGGAGATGCATTTTGAGAAACGTGTTGTTAAATGATTTAATGATATGCGAACCTCATAGAGTGTACTTACTAAACCTAGATGGTACCACCTGCTACACACCTAGGCTATATGGTAGAGCCTATTGCTCCTAGGCTACAAACTGGTAACACCTGTTACTGTTCTGAATACTGTAGGCAATTGTAACACAGTGGTAAGTATTTGCGTATCTACACACGTGGGAACATAGAAAAGGTACAGAGAAAATACAGTATAAAATATAAAAATGGTGCACCTGTATAGGGCACTTACCGTGAATGGAACTTACAGGACTAGGAGTTGCCCTGGGTGTCAGTGAGTCAGTGATAAGGGAATATGAAGGCGCAGGACATGATTGCATATGACTGTAGACTTTATAAACACTGTACATTTAAGCTACACTAAGTTAATTTAAAATTTTTTTCTTCAACAATAAATTAACCTTGGCTCACTGTAACTTTATAAAATTAAAAATTTAAAAACTTTTGGACTCATTTGTAATAACACAGCTGAAAACACAAACGCATGGTATAGCTGCACAAAAATATTTCTTTATATCCTTTCCTATAAGCTTTTTTTTTTGTTTTTAAATTTATTTTTTACTTTCAAAACTTTTTTTTCTAAAAACAAAGACATAAACATACTCATTAGCTTAGACCTACACAGGGTCAGGATCATCCATATCACTGTCTTCTACCCCCACATCTTGTCCCACTGGAAGGTGTTTAGGGGCAGTAACACACATGGAGCTGTCGTCTCTTATGGCCGCAATGCCTTCTTCTGGATACCTCCTAAAGGACCTGCCTGAGGCTGTTTACAGTTCTTTTTGTTTTGTTTTGTTTTTTTAAAAAAAGCAGAAGGAATATACTCTAATGATTATAGTATAGTAAAGGCATACACCAGTAACATATTTATTATCAAGTATTACGTACTATATATAATTGTATGTGCTAGACTTTTATAGGGCTGGCAGCATAGTGGGTTGGTTTATACCAGCATCACCATAAACAGGTGAGTAATGCATTGCCCTGTGACTTTATGGCAGCTATGACATCAGTAGGTGATAGGCATTTTTCAGCTCCATCATAATCTTATGGGACCATCTTCATATATGTGGTCTGCCATTGACCCATATGTTGTTGTTGACTATACATACACATAAACATGTATGCACACACACGCACACACGTAATTTTGTCACTTGTGTTCATATACATGTCTTCTCTACATTCCCACACCTTTGGCTGTAAATTACCTAAAGACTGAGTCCAGTTAGAATTTGAACCCAAAGTAAAATGAAGACGACATTTCAACCTGAAAAATAGAGATATCTATTATAAAACAGATATAAACATGGACAATTTTGAGGCTGGTTTATATACTTACTATGCACAAAGAGGTATTTTGATTTAATTTGTGGAATAGCTGTTTCTGCAAAGTTGTAAATATAATGTTATTTAAAATGCACTGGAAGGAAAGACAAATGGCTAATTATCATAAAAAATGTTCAAACTTATGACTATCAAAGAAATGTAAATTAAAAGAACACTGACTCTTGTTTATCAGATTGGCAAGTTTGAAACATTATTAAACTCAGAATTTGAGAGGATAAACATTTGTTGGGAGAATGCTTTGGCAATATGTATCTATATGTTTAAATGTTCATACCCTTTGTCTTGGTAAGCCTACTTCTAGGACTTCATCCTAAGGAAATAATGAAATATTTATAATGCAACATTATGTATGGTGGGTACAAATTAAAAACAATAACATATCCATAATAGGAGAGTCAGGAAATTATGATAGATCGATATTACATATATATGAAAATGTTTATATTAAACAAAAAAGTAAGATATAACCCAGTCTATAAGTATGCCACAATTTTATAAAACAGTATGTTTATATATATGCATAGAAAAAGACTAGAAAGAAATGTATCTTAATGTTAATAGTGGTGGCGGGTTAATGTTGATTTTTATTTTTACATTTCTCTGTGCTTCTAAATTTTTACAAGAGTAGGCCTATTTGTAAAAAGCCCAAATATAACAGTTAAAAATGCATTGGGATAGCTTTCAGGCAAGGTGTCAAAATGAGTAGATGTGGAAAGTTCTGTTCCATACATACACAAATTAGGGACAACTTAGAAACAAAAGTTAGAGCTGCATAGCTGTGCTAAAGGAAAAGTGGGAAGTCTAGGACCAGAGTTCCACAGCAGTGAGTGTTGGCTGAGGCTGGAGGCCTGTGGGAGGCGGGGAGAAGGTAGCCTGTTTGGTATCTAGGATTTCAAAGTGGGAGTGGAACAGAGAGGGTGAGTGCAGTCTCACCTCAGGCTGCTGTCATGAAGTCAGTGCTGGGATTGTGGTTCTATGCAGGTGATTGGAAGTGGAGGAAACTCCAGCTAACCCACCTGGGGTTTCAGCAGGTTTATATACTTACTAGGCATAGTAAGTAAACCAGCTGCTTACTAGCTGTGGCAGAGGTGGAAGCAGTGGAACTTGTGTGACCACGAGGTGGACCAAGTTCTGTCCTGGCTTAAGGTTGGGAACCATAAAGACCCAGGACGGTGAGGCTATACTTCTGAGCTTCTGATGTTGAGGCATCCCAGCCTAGGGAGGGGAAAAGCCTCCTGTACCAGTGTGGAATGATGTTAGCAGCAAGTGACTGTGGCCTAAACCATACAGACATTAATGATTTTCTTAATAAAAAGAGAATGGAGGTGGGCTGCCTTAGGGTGGTCTAGCAGCTCAACAATGCCATGAAGGATCCAGGCTCCCTCTAACATTCTCTTTTCTGCTTAGTTTGCTGTTTGTTGCCTTAGGTCATAAGACGGCTGCTGCAGCTCCAGGTATCACGTGTGATTCCTGTCTTCTCAGATACTCCCAAACAGAATCTCCATCGTATATTGTTAGGATGAACTTGGTCACAGAGGAGGCTGGGAAATTGAACATCTGGCAAAGGGAAACAAATAGTAACAATTGTCTTAGAGCAGGTGTGTCTTGGATCACCTGTTGGCTGGACACATTGATACTCGAGATAAAACTGGGTTTTATTAGTGAAGAAGTGGGGAATGGCTGTTAGGTAGGAAACTCCCTTGCAGTATGAACTCTCAAACAAAATTGGAAGAATTTATGCCTGGAAAACTACAAATAATAGAAGAATCTGAAACTTACATTAAAGTAAATACATTTACAATCTTCAATATGATAAGCAACAACTATAAAATATAAATTAAGTAGGTAATGATATCAAGAGTAGATGAATATAAATAAAAACCAATTAGAAATCTTGCAAATGAAAAATAGAGGCCTCAAAAAAGCAACCGTTGTAAATGAAATACTGAACTGAATATATAGTTGAAGAAATTGAGAGAGAAGCCAGAATTTTGCATATCACCTGGAATGCAGCATTGAGAGATAAAGGTGAATTAAGAGGGACCTTTAATGAAAGGTAAGTTGAGAAATTGAAGTTGTTACAACAGGTATTTCTAAAACACCATAGCAAGAATAGGAGAGAAGCAATATTTGAAAAGGTAATGGCTAAGACTTTTCTAGAATTAAAGGTAGACCTAATCCTGGCATTAAAAGGGCATTTTGTTTGTCAAACAGAGCAAACCACCTCACACCTAGATACATGCTAGTAAAACTGCAGAATGACAAGAAAAAAGAACTAAATTAAAAGGCACCAGAGAGAAATATAGATTACTTACAAAGGAACAGCAATCAGACTGATAGCAACATCAGATGCCAGGTGATGATGGAATAATATCTTAAAAGTGTTGAAGGGATGGCCGGGCATGGTGGCTCATGCCTGTAATCCCAGCACTCTGGGAGGCCAAGGCAGGTGGATCACCTGAGGTCAGGAGTTCAAGATCAGCCTGGTCAACATGGCAAAACCCTGTCTCTATTAAAAATACAAAAATTAGCTGAGTGTGGCAGCACAGGCCTGTAATCCCAGCTACTAGGGAAGCTGAGGCAGGAGAATCGCTTGAACCCATGAGACAGAGGTTGCAGTGAGCCAAGGTTGTGCCACTGCACTCAAGCCTGGGTGACACAGTGAGACTTCATCTCAAAAAAAAAAAAAAAAGTGCTGAAGGGAAACAACTACAAAGTTAGATTCTGCATCTGGCTAAATCATCTTTTCAGAGCACGTAAAAAGTAGAAAAAGAAAACAACAAAAATGATATGAAAACACCCAATGTGGACCATAGCCTTAAACAGAAAAACTAAAGCCACGAAACTAGAAGAAAACATAGGAGAAAAGCTTTGTGACCTGGGAAAGATAAAGATTCCTCAGCTAGAACACAAATAAGCATAAAACATAACCCCCCAAAACTAATAATTGAACTTTATCAAAATTAAAAACTTTTGCTTTCCAAAAGATGCCGTTAAGAAAATTAAAAGCTTAAGCCAGTCATAGTGGCTCACACCTGTAGTTCTAGCTACTTAGGAGGCTGAGGAGAGAGGTTTGCTGCAGCCCAGGAGTTTGAGATTACACTGAGCTGTCATTGCATCAGTGCACTCTAGCCTAGGTGACAGAGTGAGACCCTATTAAAAAAAAGCACTACAGAGTGAAGTAAAATATTTGCTACCCGTATATCTGACAAATAGTTTGTATGCAGAGTACATAGAACTCTTAAATTTCATATTAGAAAGCAAACAACTGAATATAAAATAGACAAAATATTTGAATACTTTACAAAAGAAGAATGACTGGACAAAAAATATGTGAAAAGACGTCTAATGTCCTCAGCCATCAGGGAAATGCAAAAATAAAACCACAATGACAAACCATTATTTACCCACTAGAACTTCTAAAATTAAAAATACTGACAAAACCAAGTGTCGGCAATGTTGCAGGACAAAGGGAATTCTCATAACCTGTTGTTAGGAATATACAATTGTACAGCAGTGTTGGAAATCTGTTTGGAAGTTTCTTAAAAAGTTAAACATGCAGCTACCATAGGATCATTCCACTCTTAAGTATTCACCCAAAAGAAAGGAAAATGTATGTCTACAGTAATACTTACATAAAAAAATTCATAGAAGCTTTAGTAATAATAGTTAATACCTGGAATAACTCCAAATATCTATCACCTGATAAATAAACAATATATTGTATATCCAATATGTAGAATATTACTCAGCAGCAAAAAGGAACAAACTACTGAAACATACAGCAACAATGGAGAAATCTTTAAATCATGCTGAATTACAGATGCACAGTCATGCTGAGGCCAGATACGAACGAGTGCATACTGTATTATTTCATTTATATAAACCGTGGAGAATTCTGTAGTGACAGAAGGCAGATCTATGGTTGCCCAGGGCTAGGGTAGGGGCAATGATGGGCTGCAAATGGGTACCAAGAATCTTCTGGGGTGATAGAAATGTTTTGTATCTCTATTGTGGTGGGTGTTTTATGAGTATTTGTATCTAATGAGACTCATTTAAATGGTTTCAGTTCATGTATATAAATTATTCCTAAATAAATATGATAAGGAAAAATGGACTGGGTATAAAAAAGGAGACATTTTTAGATATACAAAGATAAGGACAATTTAAATTTTATTAATTTGTAAAATAGGAAAGAAAAAAATGAACTTCAAAAGGAGGGTACGTGGTAAAAAATTTAATGCTTTGATTTAGAAAAATAATGCTTTGTGGGTACTACAATCCTGGGTAAATCCTTCTGTAACACAATTGATGAGCAAAACTCAACCATTTTAACTTAAAACTTGTTTTTAATTTAAAAAACGTTAAATGCATTTTTACATAAGTAAAAATAGTGGTAAAAAGAACTCCCATATATCTAGAAAAATCCACATTTTCATATATTGAGCTTGCTTGAAATAGGAAATACTGTGTTTGTTAATCATTATATAGAACTCTGTGTTTTAAAAGTGTTGTTTTCTTTATTTTCTCTCAGTGTATGTCAGATAAAAATTATCATTTTGCTTATTTACAATATTTAAGAAACATGAAAGATAATTAGGATATTAAGAATTCGAAATGGCATTACCCTCAAGACCTCAAATCATATTCAAATATCTTATAATTTGCAAAAACTTCCCTATTGCATGCACCTTTCAAATAAAGATTTTTTTTGGATATTGATTTTATTTTTCAAATACATATTACACAGCTTAAACACTTATGTAGATTAATTCAAATTCTATATTCATTGAGCAACTACCTTTTTCTAGGCACTCAATGCAATAGGCCTAGGACATAAGAAATTTGAATAAGACTTGGTCTTAACCCTAAAGGAGCTGATATTGCTCCAAAAACTCTGCTCCACTACTTCAGACTTCCTGCCATACTGATGGATGGGAGAACATCGTTCGTATCTCCGTGTGTCTGCTTTGGGATGTAATGAAGACACACACATACTAGCTTGAATCACTCCTCTTTTCTCAAGGTGGACTCTGAAACCCCAATTTCCTAAAACCTTCTTTTGTTTTTACAAAGTTGGAGGGAACGGCAAACAGTATGCAGTCATTCCTGGCACACACACTGTTTAATTCCTGAAAATTTATGGGTAAATGTAGAACACTTCATGGGTGAGCAGTGGTTGTCCTTACAGCAATTTGTAGTGAAATAATGTCATAAATCACAGGGGACTGGCCAGCACCTAAAATAAAAATAACTTTGGCTTTAGACTACAAATGTCTCATGTGCTAAGATGTGTCTGTCCTGCTTATTCCAATCACAGAATGTTAGAACTATAAGAAAACCGAGAAAGAAAAAAAGTTTTATCACCTCTAGTCTGCTCTATTCCCTATAAATTGGTAATAAACACATCTAAGTTACTTCACTACAATGCGATAGATTGTAACAGCAACTGTGAAAGTCCATTATATAAATCATTTAAATAGAGATTCAGACAATTTGAAAAATTCCCATTAATTACCACAAAGTCAGTAACAATGACATCGTGAGGTCAGTTTACCCTGCTCTTGTGAATACAGACACTTTAAAATGAAGATTATGACCCAACAGAGAGGAGTAGCTCGTTAGTCATGTAAAATCTTTTTATTTTTAAATTTTGATGGGATGAGAATTGTTGAACTAATAGATGATAATTGATCTTTTAGAATAAAGAGGCTGAAGTATCTTTAGTGCAACATATTGCCTGAATCACATTGAGATTTTTTATGGTCTGTCCATATTTTCAGAAACACCCAGAGTTCATCACATAATGAAGAGCTTTGGTGTGCTGAGCCCTGTAAAAGAGGGAAAATATTTAGTTGCTTGCCTGGAAGGTGAGGGGAGATCCCTCTGCTTTTTTGCAGTTTGTGGACTATCTTAGAAACCAGAATGATGCATAGTACAGCTCTACCACTGGTTAGGGATTTACAAGTAATCTTTCTCTAGCACAGCCAGTCATTTTCTGCTTCTAAGAGCCAGCATGTCCCTAACATCTTCTGTACCAAAGATCCCATGCTGTTACTCATCGCAGAATGTGAGACTGATGACTTCCCTTTCAGCTCTCCACCCTCCTCCCAGCTCTGGTTGATACTCTTCAATTACTGCAAAGGATGCCTCTCTTCTCTACTAAAATCTGAGTATCTTGAGGGCAAGGATCATCTATTACTCACAGATATCCATGATGGTTCTAGATTCAGCAATCTGCACAGAGTGGCACTGAATTCCTAGTCATTAAACACACACAGGACAAATAGCAGCTAGATACCGAAATCTGAGTGAACTGGATAGGATCTGGGCATCCTGTCTTGCTTATCACACTCCACCTTCCTGCTCGGAGTCCAGCCCAGGTACCTGGGCTTATGCTGGTGCCCTAGGCTGGCCTCCCTCTTCTTTGCCACCTCCAAGCCCCCTGTTTAGCCATCTCTCCCACTATTCTCTCACCATTCTGGACTGATCAGAGTCCCCAGGTGTGTGCCACCATGCCTGGCTAATTAAATTTTTTTTTTAAATTTTTTATTTTATTTTTTTTGGAGACAGGGTTTTACTATGTTGCCCAAACTGGTCTTGAACTCCTGGGCTCAAGCGATCCTTATACAGAACTTATAACTGGCCCAGCCTTGTTCTATGTACTTCACATAAATCAGTTCATTGAATCCTCACAACCTAATGGCATAGATATTACTGGCTTTTTATAGATGGAAAAACTGAAGATCAGACTGGCTAATGTCTTGTCCAAAGTCACACACAACCAGTAAGTGGCAAAGCTGGGACGGAAACCCAGTCCGGCTCCAGGTCTGTGCGTTGATTCACTCCTGCCATGGGCAAGGAGGGCATAGATGCTAAACTCTGAAAGCTCAACCAAAGTCAAGATTCACTGAAAATTTGCTGAGTGTCAAGGAGGGTGCTAAGTATTTTACATACATTTGTTACTTTTTCTGTATTTCAAATTTCTCATTTTGCAAAATTTAAGACACACAAAAGTTGCAATAATAGTATAAAATATTCCTGTGTATTCTTCACAGACTTACCAAATGCTAACATTTTACTACACTTCTCTCTCATTCTCTCTTTCTCTCTCCATATGTATATATGTTGTGTGTGTGTTACATACACACACAACATATATATATGAAACATTTGAGAATAAGTTGCAGACATGATGCTCCTTTACCTCTAAATACTTCAGTGTGTATTTCCTAAAACAAGGTCATTTTTTTCCATGACCAGTACAATAACCCAAATCAGAAAACTAACATTGATACAAGAGTATTTGCTGTGCTAAAGATCTCAGAGTTTTCCAGTTGCCCCACTAATGTCTCTTTTTGATCCGTGATTGAATCCAAGATCACACCTTGTATCTAGTTGTCATGCATCTTTAGCCTCCTTTAATTTGCAACAGTTCCTTGTTCTTTTTTTGTTTTTTTTTTTTTGAGACAGAGTCTTGCTCTGTTGCCCAGGCTACAGTGCAGCAGCATGATCTTGGCTCACTGCAACTTCCACCTTTTGGGTTCAAGTGATTCTCATGCCTTAGTCTCCCAAGTAGCTGGGACTACAGGTGTGAGCCACCATGACCAGCTAGTTTTTGTATTTTAGTAGAGACGGTGTTTTGCCAAGTTGCCCAGGCCAGTCTCAAACTCCTGGCCTCAAGTGATCCACCTGCCTTGGCCTCCCAAAGTGCTGGGATTACAGGCGTGAGCTGCAGCACCTGGCCTGTTTCTCATTCTTTGTCTTTCATGACTGTATTAGTTTTCTATTGCTGCTGTAACAATTTACCATAAAATTAGTGTCTTTAACAACAAAAGTTTATTACCTTACAGTTGTGTCGGTCAGAAGTCCAAGATGGTATCCCTGGGCTTAAAAAAAAAAGGTGTGGGGAGGGCAGAATTCCCTTCTGGAGGCTCTAGGGGGTGGGGAATCTGTTTCCTTGCCTTTTCCAGCTTCTAGATGTCACCTGCATTCCTTGACGTGTGGCCCATTTCTCCATCTGCAGAGCTATCAATGGCTAGTTGAGTTCCTCTCATGTTGTTACGTCTGTCTGACCTCTGACCACCGCTGGGAAAGCCCCTTTAAGGCCTCATGTGATTAGATTGGGTCTGCCTAGCTCATCCAGGGTAATCAGTACATCTATAAGAATGCTTTTGCCATGCATGCTAACTTCTCCACAAGTTCCAGGTACTATTGGGGTCATTATTCTCTCTGCTGCTGTAACTTTGACATTTTTGAAGAAGACAGGCGAGTTATGTTGTGCACTCTTTCTTGATCTGAGTTTATCTTGTGTTTCCACATGCTTCGATTCAGGGATGCTGTTATGGTTTGGCTGTGTCCCCACCCAAAGCTCCTCTTGAATTGTAGCTCCCCCACTGTCCACATGTTGTGGGAGGGACCCAGTGGGAGGTAATTGAATCATGGGGGTGGGTCTTTCCTGTGCTGTTCTCATGATAGTGAATAAGTCTTATGAGATCTGATGATTCTATAAGGTGGAGTTTCACTGCACAAGTTCTCTTCCCTTGTCTGCCACCATGTGAGATGTACCTTTCACCTTTTGCCGTGATTGTGAGGCCTCCCCAGCCATGTGGAACTGTGAGTACATTAAACCTCTTTCTTTTGTAAATTGCCCAGTCTTGGCTATGTCTTTATCAGCAGTGTGAAAATGGACTAATCCAGATGCAATGTTGGCAGGTGGTTCTGCTGCTGTGTTCTCAATCCTGTGTGTCAGGAGGAGTGTGCTACGCCTCTGTCCATTAGTGTGGGTGTCATTAATTTTGATCCCTTGACTAGGGTGATGTCTGGCCATTTCCTTCTCTGTAACGTTAGTATTTTTCACTTTGTAATTAATTGGTATCTCTTGAAGAGATTCTTTGAGGCTATGTAAATATCTGCTTCCCAGCCTACTTTCTATCCTACCTTCACCCACTAGTTTTAGCATTTGTTGATGATTCTTTGCTTGAAACAATTATTACTGTGGTGGTTGCCAGATGCCTACATTTTCTCATTTAATCTACAACCACGAGATGGGTAGTGTTACTGTCCTAATATCACAGATGGGGAAATAGGCTTACGTAAATTAAATAAGTTTTCCAAGGTCTTACGGTTAAGTACGGTGGAACCACAATGTGGAAGTTTCAAGGCACATTTCACTGACCTTCCTGGCCAGAAAGGTGGTTGGTAAGATGCGTTGTAGCTGTTCTCAGAAAAAATAAATTAGAAAGTACAGTGGACTTTATTCAATGTAATTCTGCATCAAGTTGAATCCATCTATCTTTTTGGAAAAACAACTTTCATGATGACAAATTCTCGGAATAGAACAGTGGAAATGAAGCCATGGTCAAAACTGTCAACTCTGAGGAGGTTCTTTCTCAAGGAGAGGCAAGTGGCACTTCAGCTGAGCCCCCGTTTGGGCGTCGTTCCATCATTGACCTCAGGGTGCGCAGGCAGGGCTGGCTTATAAGGGAGCTATGCTAGAAAACAGCTTGTCTGCTGCTTTTGGTAACAGAACCCCCCTGGAAGGGCTCCAGCATGGGCTTGTGTGAGATCAGATTTCACACTCCAGTGAGTGAACTCCTCAAAGTCCCAGTTAATTTGTATTAAGCACCCAGCTTTCTTTTCCCACTGAACTCCCTTGAGCCCTCTCAACCAATCAAAGAGACGTGGCATGCAAACAAGCCACTTGGAGGGGTTTCTATGACCAATAATCTAAGGCCCAAGCAAACTGGGTTCTGGCCAGCTCTGTACAGAGGCACTCCAAAGCTTATCGGTGGCGAAGCTACGAGAGGAACCGAGACTGTCATCGCTGGGGTCCCTGCAGGACTGCGCTGAGTGCCCTCCAGACCCTTTTAAGGAAAATAAATTTTACCTCTGCTTCTTCTGGTTCTGTTCTCCAGACTGAGCTTAATGAGTAACTCATCGCCACAAAATGGGGTAATTAGAAGCAGGTGATCTGGGATAGTGCCTGGGCTGTGGGTTTTTTGTTTCTCACTTGAGACTGGAAATTAGGAGCCCGGGATTCTTTCCCCACGAATTCTGTGCCACCAGAAAATAATATTTTATTTCCTAGCATCTGAAACGTAGTCGTGCATTAGGACTAATATGTTTGTGATGCTCTCTGAGCAGCCCAGAGCAAGGGGCTACTGTACAAACCCAGCAGCACTCTGTCTGCAGAACAGATGGCTATGGTAGTAAAAATGTAACAAGCTGAAGACACCCTGACTTTGTCGTATTAGATCATGTGTGCTGGTAAATCCTAGGTCTCTATACTACACACTTTAAGAGAAAATTGACTAAATGGCTTCTGAACTTTGTTAAAATAAACACAACAAAATACAAAGGTGCTTGATCTAGCTGCCTTTCTACAAGTGGCTTCCTAACATGAAGTAGCTATTCCTAGAGTCACAAAAAACCGAAGGCTCACACATAGAGAGTCGTACAAGCAAGAGAGGAGTGACATTTCAAGGGGGCGTTCAAGAATAGTTGGAGTGCCTTGGACTCTAGTGAATTTAAAGTTCCCCAGAAGACTTGATCCTTACATTTTCTAGGGAAGGTGATGGCATTGCTTTTCTTTGCAATGTATTCTATGACAGTGTGAATTCTTTGTGGGCAGGCCTTCTACCTTTGTATCATCCTTGCCTGGTTTAGTCCCTGACACACGGTAAGTGTTTAATAAACGCTAGTTGAATGAATATCAAAGTGATTACAATTCCTCCACTAAGTCTGTTCTTCTCATTTATCAACCTTAATATCTTTTCTTGCAAATGGCATACTTACTTCTTTCTTTGAAATTGAGTAGAACGATTCACGTTACTCAATGTAGAGGGTAGGTCTATTACAGCTTCTCTGCCCACAGCTTTTCCTGCTGTAAACGGCCGTGCACCATTAGAATCCGCCACTCCTCCTGGCCTTGGGTGATAAGGGCGGGTGCGTTCCTGACTCTGCCCTGTCTGGGAACTTAAGTCTTGCATGGCTTGGCTCTTTGCCAGTCATTTGGAATTAGGAAATGAGAGAGAGTGCTGCCGGAATGCAGGCCATGTAGACTTTGGTCTGCGGGCGCTGTCTGGGGCCCTGGCACACTAATGATGCACCTAGGAAGCTGGTCTACAGGAAGGAGAGTGGGGCAGTGAGCAGCGGAAGATGGATGGAATGTTGTGTGGCCCTGAGAGGCAGAAAAAGGGACTCAGTTCCCAAGGGCATCAGGAATGCTACCTGCACATGGTTTCTTGGATTCTGAGAGATGTTTCTTGTCCTTAAATTCCTCTCCTTTCTGCTTGAGCTTACCTCGGTGAAGAGCATTCTTCCCACATCCCATTATCTTGTTCTAAAGTGTAAACAAATTCTTATCTTAACCTCTTAAAAAAGTCTGTATGAGCTCCTGGCCACTGATTTGAATGGAAGGAGTCTCTTTCCAAAACTTTCAAGTTTCCTTTGTTCCTTTGCTGTAGCCTTTCCTGTATTCTTGTCCTTCACTTCTGAGTGGGTATCCTGAACAGAACACGATGCTGCTTCTTTAAAAAAATTTTTTGTTTGTTTGTTGTTCAGAGACAGGTTCTTGCTCTGTCACCCAGGCTGGAGTGCAGTGGCGTGAAACATGATGCTTCTAATAAAAGTCTGACAAATGCTGTTGAGAGTGAGAAGAGTACCTCAAAATCCTGACGCACTTATGTGTTGTTTATATTACCCACAGCCAGGATTAAAAAAAATTACTGGATTCTCAAATTAGAAAATATACTTTATTTTCAAATACATAAAAACCATTAAAAAATAATTTTCTCTCTCTATCATCTATCATCTAATTATCTAGTATCTATCCATCTATCTGTCATCTATGTATATATGTAATGTATCTATCTATCTATCATCTGTCTATCATCTATCTATCTATCCATCCAACCCCTTGGTAACTATGCTGTTCTCCATCCTTCTGCATCCTTCTATGTGAATCTTCTACATCCTTTCTTTTTTTTTTTTTTTTTGAAATGGAGTCTCCACCTAGGCTGGAGTGCGGTGGTGCAATCTTGGCTCACTGCAACCTCCACCTCCTGGGCTCAGGTGACTCTCCTGCCTCAGCCTTCTGAGTAGCTGGGATTACAGGTGCCTGCCACTATGCCTGGCTGATTTTTGTAGTTTTAGTAGAGATGGGGGTTTCACCACGTTGGCCAGGCTGGTCTAGAACACCTCACCTCAGGTGATCCACCCACCTCGGCCTCCCAAAGTGCTAGGATTATAGGCATGAGCCAACATCCCTGGCCCTTTCTATTTTTTATTCTGCTTAATCTACCAAACATTCAGAGAGACGTGTGCTAGAATCTCCCACCATGTTTTTCAATCAGTCTATTTTTCCTTATAATTCTAACAATTTAATATATTCTGAGGTTGTTTTATTAAATTAATAAAAGTTTAAGATGGGAAGATTTTCCCCATGAGCTTTCCCTTTATCACTGTGTAGTGAACATCTTTTCCCTGGTTAAGCTTTTCGTCTTAACATTGTGTTGTGTTGCCTTATATTATGTAACAATACCAGCCTACATTTGGTGTGTATTTATTTGACATGTTTTTTTCTTTTCTTTTTCTTTTTTATTTATTTATTTTGAGATGGACTCTCGCTCTGTCGCCTAGGCTGGAGTGCAGTGATGAAATCTTGGCTCCCTGCAACCTCTGCCCCCCGGGTTCAAGTGATTCTCCTGCCTCAGACTCCCAAGTAGCTGCGATTACAGGTGCCTGGCACCATACCTGGCTAATTTTTGTATTTTTAGTAGAGAGGGGATTTCACCATGTTGGCCAGTCTGGTCTCAAACTCCTGACCTCAAGTGATCCGCCTGCTTTGGCCTCCCAAGGTGCTGGGATTACAGTCATGAGCCGCTGTGCCCGGCCGGCATGTTTTTTCTCTATTTCTTTATTTATAACGTTTCTTTACTAGTATGTTTTAAACATATCTCTTATAGAAACACATAGCCAGATTTCGATTTTTAAAAAGTGATTGAAGAATCTTTCTTCTACCTGGTAGATAGAGATCTATTATGATTACAGATCAATTTTTCCTTTTCACTTATTCTACCTTTTCTTTGCTTTAACTTCCCTATTATCCACTTTATTGGTTAATTTAGTTTTCACTCTTTTTTCCTCCCTGCACTTCAATTTCACTGGAAGCTATGCATACTATTCCTATTTTTTTTTTTTCTGATTATCCTAAAAGTGTAACATGATACTTCATATTCGTGTCAAGGTAAGTGTTATTTACATACTTCCTGACTAATAACTTAATACTTGACTAACATCTTAGAATATTTTAATTTCAACCACTCTTCCCATTTGATATGGTTTGGTTCTGTGTCCGCACCCAAATCTCATCTCAAATTGTAATTCCCAGGTGTCAAGGGAGGGACTAGGTGGATCATGGGGATGGTTTCCCCCATGCTATTCTCATGATAGTTAATTCTCATGAGAGCTGATGGTTTTGGCAGTTTCCCCTGCACTCTCTCTCTCCTGCTACCATGTTAGACCTGCCTTGCTTCTCCTTCACCTTCTGCCATGATTGTAAGTTTTCTGAGGCCTCCCCAGTCATGTGGAAATGTGAGTTGATTAAACCTCTTTTGTTTATAAATTACCCAGTTTCACTTAGTATCCTTATAGCAGTGTGAGAATGGGCTAATACAGAAGATTGGTACCAGCAGAGTGGGATACGCCTGTAAAGATAACCTGGAAATGTTTAGCAATTTTGGAACTGGGTAACAGGCAGAAGTTGGAATAGTTTGGAGGACTCAGAAGAAGACAGGAAGATGTGGGAAAGTTTGGAACTTCCTAGAGACTTGTTGAATGGTTTTGACCAAAATGCTGATAGTGATATGGACAATGAAGTCCAGACTGAAGTAGTCTCAAATGAAGATGAAGAACTTATTGAGAAATGGATTAAAGGTCACTCATGCTATATGCTTTAGCAAAGAGACTGGCGGCATTTTGCCTCTGCCCTAGAAATCTGTGGAACTTTGAACTTGAGAGAGATTATTTAGGGTATCTGGCAGAAGAAATTTCTAAGTGACAAAACATCCAAAAGATAACCTGGCTTATTCTGAAAATGTTCAGTTATAATATATAAATGTTCAGCATTGACAAAGACTTGGTTTGAAATTGGAACTTATGTTTAAAAGGGAAGCAGAGCATAAAGGTTTGGAAAATTTTTAGCCTGACCATGTAGAAGAAAAGAAAATTCCATTTTCTGGGGAGGAATTCAAACTAGCTGCAGAAATTTTCATAACTAATGAGGAGTTGAATGGTAATAGCCGTGACATTGGGGAAAATGTCTTCAGGGCATGTCAGAGAACTTCAGGGCAGCCCCTCCCATCATAGGCCTGGAGGCCTAGGAGGGAAAAATGGCTTCCTGGGCCCAGCTCAGGGCCCCACTGCTCTGTGCAGCTTTGGGACTTGGTACCCTGTGTCCCAGCCACTCCAGCTCCAGCCCAAGCTAAAGGGGCCAAGGCACATCTCAGGTTATTTCTTCAGAGGGTGCAAGCCCCAAGCCTTGGTGGCTTCCATGTGGTGTTGGGCCTGTGGGTGTACAGAAGACAAGAGTTGAGGTTTGGGAACCTCTGCCTAGATTTCAGAAGATGTATGGATTCTCTTGGATGTCCAGGCAGAAGTCTGCTGCAGGGCCAGAGCCCTCATGGAGAACCTCTCCTAGGGCAGTGTGAAAGGGAAATGTGGGGTTGGAGTCCTCACACAGAGTCCACATATGGGCACCACCTAGTGGAGCTGTGAGAAGAGGGTCACAGTTTGCCAGACCCCAGAAAAGTAGATCCACCAATAGCTTGCAACTTGCTCCTAGAAAAGCCACAGGCACTCAATGCCAGCCCCTGAAAGCAGCTGCAGGGGCTGTACCCTACACAGCTATAGGGGTGGGGCTGCCCAAGGCTGTGGAGCCCACCACTGCACTGGTGTGCCCTGGATGTGAGACATGGAGTCAAAGGAGGTTTTGGAGCTTTAAGATTTAAAGACTGCCTGGCTGGGTTTTGGACTTGCATGGTGCCTGTGATCCCTTTTTTTTTTGGCCAATTTCTCCCAGTTGGAATGGGAACATGTACCAATACCTGTACCCCCATTATATCTTGGAAGTAACAGTGATTTTACAGGCTCATAGGTGGAAGGGACTTGCCTTGTCTCAGATGAAACTTTGGACTTTGACTTTTGGGTTAATACTGAATTAAGACTTTGAGAGACTGTTGGGAAGGCATGATTGGTTTTCAAATGTGAAAAGGACATGAAATTTGGGAGGGGCCAGGGGTGGAATGATATGGTTTGGCTCTGTGTCCCCACCCAAATCTCATCTTGAATTGTAATCCCCAGGTGTTGAGGGCGGGACCAAGTGGGAGGTGATTGGATCATGGGGACAGCTTCCCCCATGCTGTTCTCATGATAGTGAGTGAGTTCTCAGAGCAGCCAATGGTTTTAAAAATGTTTGGCAGTTTCCCCTGCACTCTCTCTCTCCTGCTGCCATGTATGACATGCCTTACTTCCCCTTCACCTTCTGCCATGATTGTAAGTTTCCTGAGGCCTCCCCAGCCATGTGGAACTGTGAGTCAATTAAACCTCTTTTGTTTATAAATCACCCAGTCTCAGGTAGTCTCTTTATATAGCAGTGTGAGAACAGACTAATACACCATTAAAAAAAATATTTATGCCCAGTATTTTAGTTTTACTTGTTTTCCAACCATGTGTTTTTATTATCATTGCTTTATACTAGCCAAAGCTTCTTTACAAATATCCACATATTTACTGATTTCTTTGCTCAACTTTCTTTTACCTCAGTCTTTTCCTCTATGTTTAATTTTTCTTCTTGCTGAAATAATATTTTGTCATTTTTTCAAGTGAAGTCTTAGCTTGTTTGAAAGTCTGTATTTGTCCTCATTCTTCAATTCTAGTTTAGCTGGGTTTAGAATTCTAAGATGACTACTTTTTTTCCTTTTAATATTTTGAAAATATTTTCCATTGTTTGCTGGGTTGTATTATCATAGTTGAAAAGTCTGTTGTCAATCTGACTTTTGGTCCTCTGTGAGTAATCTATGTTTTCTTAATGCTTCATATAAAAGTTTTCTCTTTGTCTTTAGTATTTTACAGTTTTTCTCTAAATGTGTTAAGTGAAATTTATTTTTATTTACTATATTTGGTAGTTGAAGTGATTCTAGAATTATGTGATTACTGTCTTTCTTTAGTTCTGAAAATATTGCCTCTTCCTCTTTCTATATTCTTTCTCTGGATATTCTTTTAGAAAATTCTTGGATCTTCTCATTTTATCCACATTGTTTCTCAAATTACAACGTTTTCCATTTCTTTATTTCTCTCTTATTCATTCTGGGAAATTTTCACAGAAATATCTTCTGATTCACCAATTCCTTCACTCACCTCTGTCTAACCTGCTGTCTAATTAACCTGTCTATTTAGTTTTAAAACACAGTGACTACATTTTTCATTTCTAGGTGTTCTGTTTGGATAGTTTTTTAAATGTCTTTTTTTAATAGTTCCTTGGTTTTATGTCTTTGTTTCCTCTTTTACATCTTTTAAAAATACATTCGTTCATAGAGTATCTAATTGCTCTATTATCCTAAGTTCTTAGGGGTTTAATTGCATTGTTTTTGGTGCTTGTTGATCCTTTTCTCTCATAGTGGATTTTTTTCCTCATGTATTTTACATTCTAGGTCATGAGCATTTATTTGGTGGGGTTTATCTTTGTGAATTTTTCTGGGGAATGAGTGTGTGATACAATCTCCACCCTCCAGCCCCCTGAGTAGTTTTTGAGTTTGCTTCTGCAAGATACCTTAAGAATATAAGCATATTGGAAATATTTTTATCTGTTTTCTTGACATGGAGGTTTCTGGACCATATGAGCCTATAAATTCAAACCAAAAATTTGAGTGAGGGTAAGTTCATTGTTGCAAATTCTAAGAGGCTATCTATTTCCAGCCAAAGCTCAGTTAATAATTAAAGAGATTCCTTGATGTTTCTCTGGGCCAGTGAAAGGATTTTTAAAAATCATCTTTTTATTGAGAATATAACCATGTGAGGACCCTGTCTTCATCAGGGGGTCTCAGTTCTAACTCCCAGTCTTGTTGGGGGCTAAGGTCTTATTATCTGTGCTTGTGAGACATTAAAACCTAAGCTTCTTGGTTTGTTTGGAGCTACTCTTGCTCCAACAAAGACAGCCTTAACTTTCTAGTTTCTAATTTCCAGTTCATTTTTAGCCATTGGGAGATTCCTTTACTTTATTATAAGCTTCACTATGAATTTCACAGGATATTTCCTATACGGTTTTCCCTTGGTGTCTGCAGGGGATTGGTTCCAGGATCTTTTGCAGATACCAAAATCTTGTGGATGCTCAAGTCTCTTATATAAAATGGCGGTGCTGGTATTTGCATATAACCCACACATATTCTCTCATATACTTTAAGTCATCTCTAGGTTATTCATAATGCCTAATACAATAAAAAAAGCTGTGCAAATAGTTGTTATACCATATTGTTTTTAATTTGTATTTTAAAAACCATTGTATTATTATTTTTTGTTTTATTTTTATTTTTTGCATATTCTCATCCACAGTTGATTGAATCCCTGAATGGGGAACTGACAGGTATGGAGCACTTACTGTACTTTATTCACATTTTTTTTAAATGAACGAATATATTTATTCAGAATCACTGCTTTTTAAACTATTTTCTAAGTATATATTAATGAATTATTGTTCAATTGATATTCTTTTTTTAAAATACTTTAAGTTTTAGGGTACTTGTGCACAATGTGCAGGTTTGTTACATATGTATACATGTGCCTTGTTGGTGTGCTGCACCCATTAACTCGTCATTTAACATTAGGTATATCTCCTAATGCTATCCCTCCCCACTCCCCCCACCCCACAACAGTCCCCGGTGTGTGATGTTCCCCTTCCTGTGTTCATGTGTTCTCATTGTTCAACTCCCACCTATGAGTGAGAACATGTGGTGTTTGGTTTTTTGTCCTTGCAATAGTTTGCTGAGAATGATGGTTTCCAGCTTCATCCATGTCCCTACAAAGGACATGAACTCATCCTTTTTTATGGCTGCATAGTATTCCATGGTGTATATGTGCCACATTTTCTTAATCCAGTCTATCATTTTTGGACATTTGGGTTGGTTCCAAGTCTTTGCTATTGTGAATAGTGCCACAATAAACATAACGTGTGCATGTGTCTTTATAGCAGCAGGATTTATAATCCTTTGGGTATATACCCAGTAATGGGATGGCTGGGTCAAATGGTATTTTTAGTTCTAGATCCCTGAGGAATCGCCACACTGACTTCCACAATGGTTGAACTAGTTTACAGTCCCACCAACAGTGTAAAAGTGTTCCTATTTCTCCACATCCTCTCCAGCACCTGTTGTTTCTTGACTTTTGAATGATCGCCATCCTAACTGGTGTGAGATGGTATCTCATTGTGGTTTTGATATGCATTTCTCTGATGGCCAGTGATGATGAGCATTTTTTCATGTGTCTGTTGGCTGCATAAATGTCTTGTTTTGAGAAGTGTCTGTTCATATCCTTCACCCACTTTTTGATGGGGTTGTTTGTTTTTTTCTTGTAAATTTGTTTGAGTTCATTGTAGATTCTGGATATTAGCCCTTTGTCAGATGAATAGATTGCAAAAATTTTCTCCCATTCTGTAGGTTGCCTGTTCACTCTGATAGTAGTTTCTTTTGCTGTGCAGAAGCTCTTTAGTTTAATTAGATCCCATTTGTCAATTTTGGCTTTTGTTGCCATTGCTTTTGGTGTTTTAGACATGAAGTCCTTGCCCATGCCTATGTCCTGAATGGTATTGCCTAGGTTTTCTTCTAGGGTTTTTATGGTTTTAGGTCTAACATGTAAGTCTTTAATCCATCTTGAATTAATTTTTGTATAAGGTGTAAGGAAGGGATCCAGTTTCAGCTTTCTACATATGGCTAGGCAGTTTTCCCAGCACCATTTATCAAATAGGGAATCCTTTCCCCATTTCTTGTTTTTGTCAGGTTTGTCAAAGATCAGATAGTTGTAGATATGTGGGATTATTTCTGAGGGCTCTGTTCTGTTCCATTGGTCTATATCTCTGTTTTGGTACCAGTAACATGCTGTTTTGGTTACTGTAGCTTTGTAGTATAGTTTGAAGTCAGGTAGCATGATGCCTCCAGCTTTGTTCTTTTGGCTTAGGATTGACTTGGCAATGTGGGCTCTTTTTTGTTTCCATATGAACTTTAAAGTAATTTTTTCCAATTCTGTGAAGAAAGTCATTGGTAGCTTGATTGGGATGGCATTGAATCTATAAATTACCTTGGGCAGTGTGGCCATTTTCACGATATTGATTCTTCCTACCCATGAGCATGGAATGTTCTTCCATTTGTTTGTATCCTCTTTTATTTCATTGAGCAGTGGTTTGTAGTTCTCCTTGAAGAGGTCCTTCACATCCCTTGTAAGTTGGATTCCTAGGTATTTTATTCTCTTTGAAGCAATTGTGAATGGGAGTTCACTCATGATTTGGCTCTCTGTTTGTCTGTTTTTGGTGTATAAGAATGCTTGTGATTTTTGTACACTGATTTTGTATCCTGAGACTTTGCTGAAGTTGCTTATCAGCTTAAGGAGATTTTGGGCTGAGATGATGGGGTTTTCTAGATATACAATCATGTCATCTGCAAACCAGGACAATTTGACTTCCTTTTTTCGTGATTGAATGTCCTTTATTTCCTTCTCCTGCCTGACTGCCCTAGCCAGAACTTCCAACACTATGCTGAATAGGAGCGGTGAGAGAGAGCATCCCTGTCTTGTGCCAGTTTTTAAAGGGAATGCTTCCAGTTTTTGCCCATTCAGTATGATATTGGTTGTGGGTTTGTCATAGATAGCTCTTATTATTTTGAGATATGTCCCATCAATACCTAATTTATTGAGAGTTTTTAGCAGGAAGCGTTGTTGAATTTTGTCAAAGGCCTTTTCTGCATCTGTTGAGATAATCATGTTGTTTTTGTCTTTGGTTCTGTTTATATGCTGGATTACATTTATTGATTTGCATATGTTGAACCAGCCTTGCATCCCAGGGATGAAGCCCACTTGATCATGGTGGATAAGCTTTTTGAGGTGCTGCTGGATTCAGGTTGCCAGTATTTTATTGAAGATTTTTGCATTGATTTTCATCAGGGATATTGGTCTAAAATTCTCTTTTTTTGTTGTGTCTCTGCCAGGCTTTGGTATCAGGATGATGCTGGCCTCATCAAATGAGTTAGGGAGGATTCCCTCTTTTTCTATTGATTGGAATAGTTTCAGAAGGAATGGTACCAGCTCCTCCTTGTACCTCTGGTAGAATTCGGCTGTGAATCCATCTGGTCCTGGACTTTTTTTGGTTGGTAAGCTATTATTGCCTCAATTTCAGAGCCTGTTATTGGTCTATTCAGAGACTCAACTTCTTCCTGGTTTAGTCTTTGGAGGGTGTATGTGTCGAGGAATTTATCCATTTCTTCTAGATTTTCTAGTTTATTTGCATAGAGGTGTTTATAGTATTCTCTGATGGTAGTTTGTATTTCTGTGGGATTGGTGGTGATATCCCCTTTATCATTTTTTATTGCATCTATTTGATTCTCTCTTTTCTTCTTTATTAGTCTTGCTAGTGGTCTATCAATTTTGTTGATCTTTTCAAAAAACCAGATGCTGGATTCATTGATTTTTTGAAGGGTTTTTTGGGTCTCTATTTCCTTCAGTTCTTCTCTGATCCTAGTTATTTCTTGCCTTCTGCTGGCTTTTGAATGTGTTTGCTCTTGCTTCTCTAGTTCTTTTAATTGTGATGTTGGGGTGTCAATTTTAGATCTTTTCTGCTTTCTCTTGTGGGCATTTAGTGCTATAAATTTCCCTCTACACCCTGCTTTAAATGTGTCCCAGAGATTCTGATATGTTGTGTCTTTTTTCTCGTTGGTTTCAAAGAACGTCTTTATTTCTGCCTTCATTTTGTTATGTACCCAGTAGTCATTCAGGAGCAGGTTGTTCAGTTTCCATGTAGTTGAGCAGTTTTGAGTGAGTTTCTTAATCCTGAGTTCTAGTTTGATTGCACTGTGGTCTGAGGGACAGTTTGTTATAATTTGTTTTTTTACATTTGCTAAGGAATGCTTTACTTCCAACTATGTGGTCAATTTTGGAATAGGTGTGGTGTGGTGCTGAAAAGAATGTATATTCTGTTGATTTGGGGTGGAGAGTTCTGTAGATGTCTATTAGGTCTGCTTGGTGCAGAGCTGAGTTCAATTCCTGGATATCCTTGTTAACTTTCTGTCTCGTTGATCTGTCTAATGTTGACAGTGGGGTGTTAAAGTCTCCCATTATTATTGTGTGGGGGCTAAGTCTCTTTGTGGGTCTCTAAGGACTTGCTTTATGAATCTGGGTGCTCCTGTATTGGGTGCATATATATTTAGGATAGTTAGTTCTTCTTGTTGAATTGATCCCTTTACCATTATGTAATGGCCTTCTTTGTCTCTTTTGATCTTTGTTGGTTTAAAGTCTGTTTTATCAGGGACTAGGATTGCAACCCTGCCTTTTTTTGTTTTCCATTTGCTTGGTAGTTCTTCCTCCATCCCTTTATTTTGAACCAATGTGTGTCTCTGCATGTGAGATGGGTTTCCTGAATATAGCACACTGATGGGTCTTGACTCTTTATCCAATTTGCCAGTCTGTGTCTTTTAATTGGAGCATTTAGCCCATTTACATTTATGGATAATATTGTTATGTGTGAATTTGATCTTGTCATTATGATGTTAGTTGGTTATTTTGCTTGTTAGTTGATGCAGTTTCTTCCTAGCATCGACGGTCTTTACAATTTGGCATGTTTTTGCAGTGGCTGGTACTGGTTGTTCCTTTCCATGTTTAGTGCTTCCTTCAGGAGCTCTTTTAGGGCAGGCCTGGTGGTGACAAAATCTCTCAGCATTTGCTTGTCTGTAAAGGATTTTATTTCTCCTTCACTTATGAAGCTTAGTTTGGCTGGATATGAAATTCTGGGTTGAAAATTCTTTTCTTTAAGAATGTTGAATATTGGCCGCCACTCTCTTCTGGCTTGTAGAGTTTCTGCCAAGAGATCAGCTGTTAGTCTGATGGGCTTCCCTTTGTGGGTAACCCGACCTTTCTCTCTGGCTGCCCTTAACATTTTTTCCTTCATTTCAACTTTGGTGAATCTGACAATTATGTGTCTTGGAGTTGCTCCTCTCGAGGAGTATCTTTGTGGCATTCTCTGTATTTCCTGAATCTGAATGTTGGCCTGCCTTGCTAGACTGGGGAAGTTCTCCTGGACAATATCCTGCAGAGTGTTTTCCAACTTGGTTCCATTCTCCCCATCACTTTCAGGTACACCCGTCAGATGTAGATTTGGTCTTTTCACATAGTCCCATATTTCTTGGAGGCTTTGTTCATTTCTTTTTATTCTTTTTTCTCTAAACTTCTCTTCTCACTTCATTTCATTCATTTGATCTTCCATCACTGATACTCTTTCTTCCACTTGATCGAATCGGCTACTGAGGCTTGCGCATTCGTCACGTAGTTCTCGTGCCGTGTTTTTCAGCTCCATCACGTCATTTAAGGACTTCTCTACACTGGTTATTCTAGTTAGCCATTCGTCTAATCTTTTTTCAAGGTTTTTAACTTCTTTGCCGTGGGTTTGAACTTTCTCCTTTAGCTTGGAGTAGTTTGATCATCTGAAGCCTTTTTCTCTCAACTTGTCAAAGTCATTCTCCATCCAGCTTTGTTCCATTGCTGGTGAGGAGCTGCGCTCCTTTGGAGGAGGAGAGATGCTCTGATTTTTAGAGTTTCCAGTTTTTCTGCTCTGTTTTTTCCCCATCTTTGTGGTTTTATCTACCTTTGGTCTTTGATGATGGTGATGTACAGATGGGGTTTTGGTGTGGATGTCCTTTCTGTTTGTTAGTTTTCCTTCTAACAGTCTGGACCCTCAGCTGCAGGTCTGTTGGAGTTTGCTGGAGGTCCACTCCGGACCCTGTTTGCCTGGGTATCAGCAGTGGAGGCTGCAGAACAGCGGATGTTGGTGAATAGCAAATGTTGCTGCCTGATTGTTCCTCTGGAAGTTTTGTCTCAGAGGAGTACCTGGCTGTGTGAGGTGTCAGTCTGCCCCTACTTGGGGGTGCCTCCCAGTTAGGCTACTTGGGGGTCAGGGACCCACTTGAGGAGGCAGTCTGTCCGTTCTTAGATCTCAAGCTGTGTGCTGGGAGAACCACTACTCTCTTCAAAGCTGTAAGGCAGGGACATTTAAGTCTGCAGAGGTTTCTGCTGCCTTTTGTTTGGCTATGCCCTGCCCCCAGTGGTGGAGTCTACAGAGGCAGGCAGGTCTCCTTGAGGTGCGGTGGGCTCCACCCAGTTCAAGCTTCCTGGCTGCTTTGTTTACCTACTCAAGCCTCGGCAATGGCGGGCACCCATCCCCCAGCCTCACTGCCACCTTGCAGTTTGATCTCAGAGTGCTGTGCTAGCAATGAGCGAGGCTCCGTGGCATAGGGCCCTCCGAGCCAGGCGCGGGATACAATCTCCTGGTGTGCCGTTTGCTAAGACCGTTGGAAAAGTGCAGTATTAGGGTGGGAGTGACCCGATTTTCCGGGTGCCATCTGTCACCCCTTTCCTTGGCTAGGAAAGGGAATTCCCTGACCCCTTTTGCTTCCCGGGTGAGGCGATGCCTCATCCTGCTTTGGCTCATGCTCGATGTGCTGCACCCACTGTCCTGCACCCACTGTCCGACAATCCCCAGTGAGATTCATCCGGTACCTCAGTTGGAAATGCAGAAATCATTCGTCTTCTGCGTCGCTTACTCTGGGAGCTGTAGACTGCAGCTCTTCCTATTCGGCCATCTTGGCTCCAACCCTATTCACATTTTTAAGGTATACTTTTAGTGGAAGGATTTTCAGGTTATTTATTTCATCTAATAGATAGAACTAGACTGATTATGATTGTTTCTTACATGTCAGCACTGAACTCCTGCCTTCTAGTGTCAAGTTGGTTGGGAGAAATAATTTGGTAAATAAAGTGCAAAATCACATTATTGGCAGTAAACGCTCTACAAATTATTGTGTTATTAGCAGTGAAATTTCCTAAATGAGTCCTTTATTTTTGACTTCAGAATGTGCTGTAGTATCACTGGCATTATGTATGTGGGAGTAATAGTATGAAGTTGTCATGATAAAATAATGACTTCAATAGAACACAGTCAAGACATGTAGCCAGTATATAACTTGAAATTTGTGTGTGTGTGTGTGTATATATACATACTATCATATATAATGTATAATATTTAATATATATAATATATACTTGATATGTAAGCCAAATATAATATATGGCTTGCATATGTTAAACCCAAATATAACTTGTACAATGTATGTAACATAAATTTCAATTATGTAACTTGAAATTTGTATATATTTATATTGTATATATGACATATATTTAGTATGTATATAATATATAATTAAATGTTGTCCATTATTGACTTAAAAGTTGTTTAAGATATTATATAACTTTCCTGGATGTTTTCCCAATGTGTGTTCTTTAGTACACTGGTGTATTAGTCTATTCTCTCGCTGCTAATAAAGACATACCCAAGACTGGGTAATTTATAAAGGAAAGCGGTTTAATAGACTCACAGTTCCACATGGCTGGGGAGAACTCACAATCATGGTGGAAGACAAAGGAGGACCAAAGGGATGTCTTACATGGCGGCAGGCAAGAGATCGTGTGCAGGGAAACTGCTGTTTATAAAACCATCAGACCTCGTGAGCCTTATTCACTACCACGAGAACAGTATGGGGTGAACTGCCCCCATGATTCAATTATCTTTCCTGGCCCCGCCCTTGACATGTGGGGATTATTACAATTCAAGGTAAGATTTGGGTGGGAACACAGCCAAACCGTATCAACTGGTTTCCCAAAATATTTTACAAAAAGTGTTCCACTAGCAAATAAAGTTGGAAAATCTTGCTTCTTATTATACTTCTTCTTGATGAATTTTAAGAATGCCAGTGTATGACACTAGGAACCTTGAGGTAAAGAAATCAGTTTGAATTTTGTTAATGCAGTGTGTCCCAAACCTATTTGACCAAAGAAATATTATTTTAAGTAACACTTGTTAGTATTCCATTCTGTAAAACACAATTTGGGAAATGCTGTGCTTTTGAGCATGTTTTTGTCAAGATAATCTTTAAATTCTTAGTTAATTTACACACAAGAAATATTCCATGTAATCTTCTACTATCAGAATCTTATTTATTTAAAATAAAATTAAATTGATATATAAAATTACATAACAATGTCCTTCTCTTACAAGATAAAATCATTTTGTTAACTATAAAAGCACTTAAGTTGATTAAACATGATTTTTAATCGATAACTGTAAGCTAACATATGGATAAGAAAACATTTCAAGTATGAATTCTGTTTTTCAATATTAATAATATTTCCAATTTAGTCAAATCATTTTTGGGACATATTTATATTGAAATATTACTCAATGTAATGGAGAGATTAACATAAAGTTGGTTCTCATACTTCCATTAATAAAATCAGAGCCACAGAAGTTCTCAGTGGCAAAAACCTTGTTATAGTATTTGTTTTTTTAGATAGCCCCATGGCCTGAGCTCTCAGGGCGGTATGATAGAGGAATTCTGCATATTTATTTTATTATTATTTTAATTTTTAATTAAAATTATTGATTTATTTCTTTTTTCCGAGCCTCTGTCACTCAGGCTGGAGTGCAGTAGCACAATCACGGCTCACTGCAGCCTCAACCACTCTGGGCTCAAGTGATCTTCCCCTCTCAGCCTCCAGAGTAGCTGAGACTACAGTTGGCTAATTTTTGTATTTTTTGTAGAAATGAGGTCTCACTATGTCACCCAGGCTGGTCTCAAACTCCTGAGCTCAAGTAATCTGTCCACCATGGCCTCCCAAAGCACTGGGATTACAGGTTGGAGCCACCCCACTCGGCCTCCGTATTTATTTTTAACATCTATCTATCCATCTGTCTGTCTGTCTGTCTGTCTATCTATCTATCTATCTATCTATCTATCTATCTATCTGTCTATCATCTATCTATTTATCTATCAATCAATCACATTTGACAGTATGTTAAACACAATCCTTCCAGGCAGTGACTTTCAGCTGAAAGTCATGAAGCCCCAAAGACTGAGAGCAAGCATTAGTTGTCACGTGTAACCTCATTCTGAAGTGAGGTGCTAGATCACCCAGGGAGGCCTTGCAAAGGGGAGTGTGGAAATGTAGGTGCCGACAGCATCAGCCCAGTGCCCAACTGTGTGAGGCTGTTTAAGAGAAGTGGAAAATTCATCAGGAGGCGTCTGGGTTTGGCCGGAGAAGCATAACTGCTGAGGGTGATGGGCGATGCCACAGGGTCAGACAGGAGGTGTCCGGGCTTGGCTGGAGAAGTGTAACTGCTGTGGGTGATGGGCGATGCCACAGGGTCAGATGCAATGCAGCTGTGGGAGCCCAGGCAGCCATGTGGGCTGCTCCTTTGCACCTGCTGCTGAGCTGGAGCTAGCTGAGGACCAGGCAGCCGAGCAGCGAGAAGGGACATTGCAGGTGAATGAGAGCAGGGAGAAAATGAAACCTGTGAGATGAGCTCGGACCCACAAGTACAACTGAAACCTGCGAGGATCGGCCCCTGACTCTCACTGGCATCAACTCAGCGCTGTGGGGGCCTGCAGGGCTGTAGGCCTGGGGGCCGCACCCAGTTGGCGCAGGACCTGGAGAGGCTGAGCAGATATTATGGGAGCTGGAGAGGGTGGGCGTGTGGATGCTGCCCCGTGGCAAAGAGGAGAGACAGCAGATAAGCCTGCAGCCAGCCTGCCTTCAGGACATCAAAACCACAGCTACGGCTCCACATCCATATTCCAGATCTTGTGTAAAATGTCTCTGTGGCCTACACTATCCTAGAACCATACACGGAAGAGAATTCTGGAGAATATAGCACAAACCCACCCTAGAGGCCAGAGGTTGATGGTTAGGGTGTCTGGGGAGAGAATATCAGTGTGCTGGGTCCCCTCCTCCCACCTGCCATGGGGAACTTCCACAAGTTATGTTGAGAGTTGATTCTGGAGAATTATTCAGAGGGCTTGACACGTGTTCCCTGAAGTCTGGGGAGGTAGGAACTGAACGTCTGCCAAGAGGTCATCGAGGTGTGAGGTGTGGCTGCCCCTGCCAGATGCCACCACAGCAGGGCTGCCTGGAATGAACTACATGGCCAGCATCTGTCAGGGAAAAATGAGAGCATCCCCAGAGGGCTGGGTGTGGACCCTGCAGAAGAGAGCTGGCGCTGAGCTGACATTCAATACACATTTGTGGAATGAATGAAAGTTTTTTTCATTTCAATTTTACGTAAAACATAATTTATCAGTTGCTTTCCAATATCCAATATTCTCTTCTTCCTTCATAGCAGCACCCTCATTTGACTTGGAGTAACGAGGCTCAGTAAAAGGCTGGATCATTTGGTTTCCCTTGCAGTAAGATACAAGGAGGTGACTAGGCTGACCGAAATATGGAAACAGAAGTGTTGAGTGGGGGCTTCCAGGAGGCTCTGTAAGGACAGCCACTCAGCTGGGAGAGGCCCTCTGTAGCCTTTCCAAGTGGACATGATAGGTGAGGTCTGGCAGCTACTGCGGACTGTGAGGTGACACCGGGGTGAAAGGGGCAGGCTCAAATGGAAAAGCAGAAAGACAGTAGTCACTGGTGCCTCTGTGACACGGCGTTAAGCAACGTGACCAGCACCATCCCAGATCATTTTCATAACGCTTACCCAACACAGTATTTGGGAGAGAAAAACCTGGCACGGGGCTGCTGGTACTGAAGGATGGAAGTGTTGGATTCTCCGTGAAAACAAATATTTTTTGAGAGGAGGGATCCAGATAAAAAGCCAAGTGAATAGAGCTTAGGTGAGCGAGGAATGAGGCAAAAGACTCAGAAAATAAGTTTTGGAATGGACTCCGTTTCTCCAGGAAGTTGAAGAAGATAGTTGTAAGAAAACCCTGGAAAATGCAAGCTATAAACTGTCACATCTAGTCTAGGCCTTGGCCCGTTGCTTTTCCCATTAACAACCCATGTGGACAGGGACACGGTGTTCTTAGCTCTGTTTCAGGCAGAACATGTAGTAAGTACCAGGAGATGATATCATGAATTGTGCTTACATTCACAAAAATACAAAGCTCTGACATTAGAACAAAAACAAAAAGATGAAACAGCAGTCTGTGTCTCAGCCTGTGAGGGGTAAAGGGCAGTTGGAGTTGCAGCTTTCCCTGGGGGTCTTCATGTTTGAGTCTCGTAATGCATCGTTCTCTGCATCTGTGTCTTTGTCCCAGTTATGTGGTTTTGGCAAATCTCTCTCTCCCTCCCTCTCTCCCTCTCCCTTTCTCTCTGTGTGTGTGTGTGTGAGACAGAGAGAGAGAGGAGAGAAAGAAACACACACATGGAGACAGAGAGAGACAGAGAAACAGAGAAAGAGTGAGATGACAGAGAGAGAGGAGGACAAAGAGAGAGGAACAGAAAGAGACAGAGAAACAGAAAAATAGAGAGACACAGAGAGACAGAGACACAGAGACAGCGAGAGACAGAGAGGGACAGAGAGAGACAGAGGATAAGTTCTGGAATGGACTCTGTTTCTCCAGGAATTTGAAGAGGATAATTGTAAGAAAACCCTGGAAAATGCAGGGTGTAAACAGAGAGAGAGAAAAACAGAAAAATAGAGAGAGGGACAAAGAGACATACAGAGACACAGAGACAGACGGAGAGGGACAGACAGGGACAGAGAGGGACACAGAGGGACGGAGACAGGCGACTCTGTGCTGGTCTGTTGCTTTTCCTCTCTCATGTTTTCCCTTTCACCCTTCCTGGCTCTTCATGTCCTTCTAGTTTTTTTCTTCCCTTGAGTTTGATCCCTGATCCAGCCCCACGAAAACACCGAGCCACACTGCATTTTCCGTAACCATAGTCTTGATTCTGTTCCCCGGTGTGGGCCAGTTGCCCTGGCAGAGCACGTGTTCCTCACCTGGTCACCTGATCCTTCAGAGAAGGGGCGTTTTTAAGCCAACAATGGTTTGTCGGCGATTGCCCTGGATGGGACTTTTGTAGGGTGCTGAGTGGTACCTAATTCAGTGGGCTCCGTGCCAAGACTAACATGGAATGCTGTCCTACTACTCCAGTCGCATCGTCATTTGAAAATGGCCTGAATGGAGCTTCCCATCCGGGTTCTTAAGAGGCTTCCATGTGGTTGCCTGGGGCCCTTTCTGGCCAGGTGTGGGTGGTTTAGGATCTTTGGTCCTGGCCTGCCCTTTTCTGGGTTTCTCTTTTTCAAGGAGCTCTGAGAGATTTGAGGACGTGTATTAAGCATCTGTGTGACTCTTGAGGCCTAGCTGACATATTTCCACAGGCGACACATCTTTCCAGGGCTAAGCCCCGCTAGGACAAGAGGGACGGGAAGTGTGGAGAAGTGTGCATATTTCCGGAGCCGAGAGGCTGCGGGGCCCAGCTGTAATAAAGCTGTCTGTTAGGAAGTTATCTTTCATATACAATTGCTTCCCCTAAGCTCTTAAGCACATTAACTGCACCTGTAATTATACACACCTCAGAAAATGCATAAAAGCTGCCTTCTTAGCCAGACTAAATAAAACTGCAGTCTCCTTCATATCCTCTATTGCCTACTATACCTTAACGCTAGGGGGGGAAAAAAAAGAAAAAAGGAATGAAAGCAAAGAGAAGAGGTAATTGCCCATTAGAGAGTTGCTCATAAGTGAACTTTGCCTCTCGTTTACAGCATTAATTTTGCTCTGCGTGAACTGCACTTGACAGGGCTCGGAGGCTGAGAGTTCTCGCTGCTCTCGCCGGCCTTCGAGGCGATTTGCTGCCGATTTGCATTTCAGACAGTGTGTGTGGTGCAACAACAACAACAAGGCATTTCACTCGACTCCCAGGAATCCCTGTGTCAGGGTGAAGAGCACGTATGATTTTCTCCGGGAGTCTCTCCTTTCTTTCTCAACGACCTACTTTCTTGCACTGGACTATTTTGCACTATTCGGTACTAATGAGCCTAAAACCCCTGCTAAGTTCTTCCTTTATGCCATACTGATCTCCTCCTCCTCCTCTTCCTCCTCCTGCGATAGCTCTTTCTCAGGTATTTTGGGGACCAGAGGGAAAAGACAAATTCCCTGAATATGGGGTCCTCAGGCATAATCCCGTCCAGCTGGGGTTTATCCACCCTGCCGGGCACAGTCACGGATACAGATCTGGTCCAGTAGCCAGACACACTTTTCACATTAGGAAGGGGGATAACGGGCAATGACTTGCCACCGCCTCCTTTCAAAGCCTACTCTAATAGAAACCATTCCTTGTACAGTGTCAGTAGAATTAATTGGCTGCTAATCCACAGGAGATGTTCGGATCGCCTACAGTTTATTTTATGAGTCCTCCAGGATCAATTTCATGTTTGAATGACTATTCCTATCATATATTTACATAACAGTTGTCCTTTGTATTCAGAGATGACTTGGTTGCTTTTTTACTCCCCAGGCACATTCTTTTTGGAAAAGGCAGACATGTTACCTGAAGCTTTTTTGGAAATTAGCAAATATTTATCCAGCACCTAATCTGCAAATACAGATGCTCTGTGACTTACGATGGGGCTATGTCCCGATAAACCTGCCACAAATTGAAAATATCATGTTGAAAATGCATTTAATACACCTAGCCTACTGAACATCACAGGTCAGCCCAGCCTTCCGCAAACGTGGTCAGAACACTTACCTTACCCAACTGTAGAGTTGGACAAAATCATCTAATGCAAAGCCTGTTTCATAATAATACATGAGGTAGAGTCTAAGTCTCGTTTTGGGTTTGACTGACCGCAGGGACAAACTATCCACTTCATAGATTCATAGCCCATGCACCTCTTTTGCCTTTGAGAAGGTTCTTTCTTATCATGCCCTGGACCCCTTCCGTTGATCTGAGAAGTGGAGAAAGAGAGAACTCTAGGGTGCTGCTGGCGTTAGTTGTGTGAAGAGTGTGAATCTATTACTATCCAGTCATTTAAGAGGGTGTGGGGTCACTACTCCCTGAAAAGTGGAAGAGATCAAAAAGGCCAGAGGAGGAGCTGGGGCAGCAGAGGAGGAGGGGGCATTGGGGGGAAAGTACAGGCCGGCAAGCTGGGGGACAGGGGAGGGGTTGGTGGCAGCTGCTTGCGTTGCCAGGACTCCTAGAGGAGAAATAGGGGAATGGGGTTTGGGGGAGGTTTTGCTTCTCGTGTGTCTCCCTTTGGGGACTCTTTTAGAGTCATCAGTAAAAATGTGGCTTTGCAAGGATTTTTGGAGTGCGGTTTATGTCTCTTTGTGGTGCATGTGGCAGAGCACCAGGTTAGAGTTGGAGGGAAGCAAGTCTGCTCGGAGACCCAGCTACTTCAGAGGGCAGAAGCAATTTGATTTCTCCTATTGAGATGTATTGGAGCAGAGAGAATAGGGAAGGAAATAAATCCCTTACATTTTGAGGCCATGACAGACATCCTTTTACACATGACTATTTCACTTGTTGGGGATGTGAACAGGTTTGTAGGCTCATCATTCATTCATTTGTTCAGCCAGCTGTAAAACAGACAAAATCCCTGCTCTCATGGAGTTCACATTCTATGTAGAGAATGCCTTCACAGTTGGAATTAAACTTTGCTGTTTATCTGCTTTGACAGATCAGGAGATCATTCAGATAGGACTCAAACCACATACCTGTTACTGACAAAGTGTAGTAAATCAGTGTTGGAACAAACAGAATCTTCTGCAGCAGTTCCAAAATGCAGGTCTGCAGATGAGGTGTCTGTCTCTTTACACCAGTAGCTCAGGTTAATAGGCCCCTGAGCTACCTATGAACAGTGCAGAATCCCGGTCCTCCACCTAGTACAGTTTGATTCTGAAGGTTCAGGGTAGGGCCAAAGAATATGTATTTTTAAACAAATTTCCCAAATGATTCTTTTGTGAGTTAAGTTTTAATTATACATATAATTCAGAAATTTATATTTGGTAAAGTTGCTCTCCCATCCTGTTTTCAGTCCAGCCCCATTCCCACAGAGTCTGGTCTGTATACATCCAGACCCACTTCTAGGAACATACATATATAGATTTATTCTAATAAAAAATATGTAATATTGTTTTATGAACTCACTTTAAAAAATAGAAATGGGAGCATTCTTTACATGTGGTCAGTTTCTCAGCCTCCCCTTTGCCTGAAGCTGGTGTGCAGGTACACGGGTTGGAGGGGCATGGCTTATGCTATCTCAGAGCTGCTAGAAGGGGTGGGGGTCTTAGGAATCAGTGTTTTTGCTTCCTCCGGTGCAAGAGCTATGGCCCCAGCTCAGCTGGCAGCAGTTTGCCTCTGCTATTCCCAGTGATGTCTGCAGTGGGGTAATGCCACTTTGGCCTGGCTGAGCTTGGTCAGAGCCTGTGAAGCTCCCTGGCTGGCTCAGCAACCTTGATTTCTGCTGCTCCCAGCTGCATCCTCCATCCAGCCTACAACCTCCAGCTCCTCCAGCCTTTGCTGTGGGGCCTCCTCCTGCTGCTGCCGGGGTTCCTTCACCACACGTTCTCTCTCAGCCCAAGGCCTCTTCGTGGCCCGTTCTACCAAACTGGCCCTTGACGTCCAACAGGGGAAGTGAAGGAATACAGACAATGCCATCTGAAGGGAGTGGCCTATACGCTAAAGTTATTTCCTTGCTGAAAATTTTCTTTTGCCTGTGTGTCAAAAGCTAAGGTCTTTCTCTGGCATTCTTTTGGTATCAAATCCTAGCCATCCTGCAGGCTGAGAAATGCCTCAGATGGAGCAGGTTAGGGAAGGCAAAAAGAAAAGTGCATGACTCATTTTCAAAATATTGCTCCTTTTCATCTCATAACCATGGTGTCCGGTCATTTTTCATTGGTTTGTGTAACTGACAGTCAAAAGACAGCGAGAGGGGCCACTACTTCTTGCACTTTTACCCCCCATGAATTTTTTTTTCTTTGAGACAGGATTTTGCTCTGTTGCCCAAGCTGGAGTGCAGTAGTACAATCTCAGCTCACTGCAACCTCCGCCTCCCGGTTCAAGTGATTCTGCTGCCTCAGCCTCCTGAGTAGCTGGGATTACAAGCAGCTGCCACCATGCCTGGGTAATTTTTGTATTTTCAGTAGAGACAGGGTTTTACCATATTGGTCAGGCTGGTCTCAAACTCCTGACCTTGTGATCTGCCCACCGCAGCCTCCCAAAGTGCTGGGATTATAGGCGTGAGCCACCACGCCTGGCCAATGGATGTATTTGAGGGCAGTTTTTGACCAAAGATTAAGAGAGACTCTCCTGTCCTAGCCACGCCCTAAATTACTTAATCTATTCTTTTTATAGTTCAACAAGGAAATGAATCAATAGCCCAAGAGACTGATATAGTTAAAAATCGTTCATAACAACTCCATTTTATTTTCTACCTAAGAAAATATGGCCCAGTCATGGTGGCTGATATGGTTTTGCTGTGTGTCCCTACCCAAATCTCATCTGGAATTGTAATCCCCAAATCCTCATTAGTCAAGGGCGGGACCTGGTGGGAGGTGATTGGATCATGGGGGCAGTTTCCCCCATGCTGAGTGATAGTGAGTGAGTTCTCATGAGATCTGATGGTTTTATAAAGGGCTCTTCCTCCTTCACTCATTTGTGCTCTCTTGCCTGCCACCATGCAAGATATGCCTTTGCTTCTCTCTTGCTTCCTGCCATAATTGTAAGTTTCCTGAGGCCTCCCCAGCCATGTTTAACAGTGAGTCAATTAAATTTCTTTCCTTTATAAACTACCCAGTCTCAGGTATGTCTTTATAGCAGTGTGAGAATGGACTAATACAGTGGCTCACAGCTGTAGTCCCAGCACTTTGGGAGGCTGAGGCAGGCAGATCGCTTGAGCCCTGGAGTCTGAGGCCAGCCTGAGCAATATGGCAAAACCCCATATCTCAAAAAATTAGGTAGGTGTGGTGGCCTGTGCCTATAGTCCCTGATACCTGGGAGGCTGAGGTGGGAGCATCACCTGAGCTGGGAGGTCGAGGCTGCAGTGAGCCATGATTGCACCACTGCACTCCAGCTTGGGTGACAGTGAGACCCTATCTCAAAAATAAAATAAAATAAAATAAAATAAAAATAAAAAAATAAAAATGGAGTAATTGTGGGTGATACACTATAAAGTGACCCCCAATGAGTCACAGTTGTTCATAATCACCTCTCCTTGAGTATTTGTGGCACCTGTGATTTGTTTCTGGCCAATAGAATATGGTAAAGGTAATGGGATGACACTGCTGTGGTGATGTTATGTTGTGTGGCAAAGATAAATGGATGTATCATTAAGGTCCCTAATCAGTTGATTTTGAGTTAATCAAAGAGACTGTTCTGGGTGGGTCTGAATTAAAGGTGAAAGCCCTTAAAAGAGGAAGTGGGACCCTCCTTGATGTCAGAGACACTCTTTCCTTCTGGCCTTGAAGAAGAAAGTGGCTATGAGTTCTACAGCTGCGAGGAAATTAATCCTGGGGAGCTTGAAAGCGAATTTTCCCCGTTAAGCCTGTGATGAAATGCAGCCCAGCTGACACCTTGACTGCAACCTTGTGAGACCCTGAGTGGAGAAACCAGCTAAGCCTTGGCATGCTCCCGACACACAGAAACTGTGAGACAATAAATGCCTGGTGTTTAAAGCCACTACATTTGTGGTAATTTGTTAGGCAGCAACAGAATACTAATACACAGTTGACCCTTGAACAATGTGGGGGTTAGGGGTGCTGATTCCCCATGCCTTAAAAATTTGAATGTAACTTTGATTACCCCAAAACTTACCTACTAATAGCCTACTACTGACCAGGAGCCTTTCCTATAACAGTTGATGAACACATGTCTTGTATGTTATATGTATTATATACTATATTCTTAAAATAAGCTACAGGAAAGAAAATAAGAAAATCAAAAGGAAGAGAAATATTTACTATTCATTAAGTGGAAGGGGGATCATCATAAAGATCTTTATCCTCATTTCTTCACATTGAGTAGGCTGAGGAGGTGGCAGAGGAGGGCTTGGTTCTGCTGTCTTGGGGTGGCAGAGGCAGAAGAGGTGGAGGAGGTGGAAGTGGAGGCAGGAGAGGTAGACACATTTGGTGTAACTTTTATTGAAAAATATCCCCATATAAGTGGACCAGCACAGTTCAAATCCATGTTGTTCAAGGGGTCAACTATAGTAATAATCAGTTATCATCCGTCCTGGTTTCTCAGCCCTCTGTTAATGAGGGTTTTCCATCCCTCCTTCCTTCCCCTCCCTTCCCCTCATCTTCCCTTCTCTCCTTTCCCCTCCCTTCCCCACCTTTCCCCTCCCCTCTCTTCCCCCCTCCTCCCCTCTTCTCCCCTCCCTCTTCCTTCTTTCTCTCTTTCCCTCCCTCCCTTCCTTGACAAACTTGGTCAAGTTCTATGGCTGTAATCTGGTTACTGCTTCCCTGAGTTGAGATGAACTCATTTAAGATTTATTTTAAAATATGTTTTATTTTTTGTAGAACATTTTCAGGTTTACAGGAAAATTGAGCAAAAATACAGTTCCCATGTATCCCCCACATGCACAATCTCACCTATTATCAATATCTTGCACGAGAGTGGGACATTTGTTAAATTCTTACACACCATTGTCATCCAAAGTTCATGGTTTACATTAGGCTTCACTCTTGGTGTTGTACACTCTATGGGTTTTGATGAAAGTTTGATGACATGGATCCACCATTACAGTATCCTACAAAGTAGTTTCACTGCCCTAAAAATCCTCTGTGCTCTGCCTATTTAACTCTTCCAATTCCCAACCCCTAGCAACCACTGATCTTTTTGCTGTCTCCCTCATGTTGCCTTTTCCAGAAATGTCATACAGTAGAGATCATACAGTAAGTAGCCTTTTCAGATTGGCTTCTTCACTTAATAATATACATTGAAGTTTCCTCCATGTCTTTTCATGGCTTGATTGCTCATTTCTTTTTAGCACTGAATAATATCTTACCATCTGGATGTACCACAGTTTATTTATCCACTCACCTACTGAAGGACATCTTGGTTGCTTCCAAGTTTTAGCAATTGTGAATAAAGCTGCTATAAATATCTGTTGCAGGTTTTTATGCAAACATTAGTTTTCAGTTCATTTGGGTAAATACCAAGGAGCATGATTCCTCGGTCACATGGTAATTGTATGTTTATCTCAGTAAGAAACTGCCAAATTGTTTTCCAAAGTAGCTGTATCATTTTGCATTCCCACCACTAATGAATTAGAGTTCTTGTTGCCCCACATCTTTGACAGTATTTGGTGTGTAAGTATGTAGTGGTGTCGCATTGTTGTTTTAGTTTGCAATTTTCTAATGACATATGGTATGAAGCATCTTTACTTACTTCTTTTTTATATCTGAGATGATGGCCATGATGAAATCCATTGTGATTTTCCTTCTTTCTATGGGGATCTGAGTGGTGGGCTTTCTCCAATCTCAAGCATGTGTAAGATCTTAGAACAAGAAAGCATGATGTTAGAAATTTATAGGACATGTTCCCACTTCATTCCTATTCTTTATTGTAATTTATATACATTTTCTCTGGGACATGATATAGTGTAGAACTTATAATTCCAAATGAAGGAAGGATTATCATGTGGTAAATTGACAAAAAGTCTCTTAGGACACTCTCAGGGCAACGTTCCTCAAGGGTGTCCTAGAATAGGGGTGAGCAATAGAAGTGACATCTTATAAAATCGCTTTGTTATAACTTGTATTTTCTAGTGTGCATTGGGGGAAGAGTCAGGAAATTAGGATTTGTGGTTATTTTCTGCTCAAGTCTTTTCTTGCCAATGTCTTATTGCCCATGCCAGGGAGCAAGGTCAGGTGAAGGAACTGCCCAGTTAATATCAGCAATCAGCTAAGTTTTCCCGTTGGGCTATAGAAACATAACCCAGACAACTGGATTGGTTAACCTGGTTTTGGTGTTAAAGGACTATGGCAAGAAATTACTTCCATTCTCTTGCAAGTGATATATTATCGCTCTATTTTACGGCTCCAAAATTTAGAAGTTACAAAGTGTCCAGAGCTCTGGCAATAGTACAATTTAGTAGGCTGCACCATTTCATAGGGTTGCCCTAAAATAATAGTGACTAAGCTTTGTGAAAAATGGTCCAACTCATGCTGCAAATGATGGTCTTGTTACTGGAGACATGAACAATTGAAAATGGCTGGGGCTGGCTTTTCTCATTTCTTTCTCCAAGCTTGAAAACAGACCATATAATTGTAGGTGGTCATATTTGCAAAAATGTCTGCAGTAAGGACACAGCTCACCTGTTTACAGTTAGAGCTTGTGGGCCCTAATGTTTTGCATGCTGGAAGTAGACTTTGTGTGTAACCCTTCGCTTGCATAAAGGCTTCAGTGCAAATTTTTCTTGTCCATGGAAATATTTTTGTTTCAAAGAGCCAGGTAAGTATGGTGCATTGAACAAATATGTTTATTGTTGCTTCCTCTGAAAATTGCATTAAAATGATAAAAACGGAATTAAAAAGGCATAGTCCTACAAGGACAAAGACAGTAGGAGGATATGCTCGCTAAAAGTAACAACAATGGGGAGGCTCTAAGTCAGATAGATATTGGTCACTGATTTTGCAGAAGGGAAAACCTACAGCCTAAGCTGGTCAAGAGGAAACCGAGCCATGGGCTGAATTGAGTCACAGCTTCTAGGAAGCCTCAGGAATTTGTATCATTAGCAACCTCATGGAGGTTCAGGTGGGAGCATAAACAGGGGGACTGGTTTAAAGTCTTCCTGGGAAGCAATGAGAACCCTTCCCGACCCAGTCCCTCCAGCAGAGGGAACACCAGGCTCAGCTGAAGGCAGAGGCCACAGCAATAACAAGTAATCCGGTAAGAGTCTATATATTGAGCACGTGCTCCAGTGCTTCTCCTCCTCACCAGCCCAGTAGGGCATCCAATCCAGGAATCCCTTGCTGGAGGCTGCTGGCGCCCCTGCACCATGTTGGCCTGATAATGGCGGACCCAGGCTTTGGGTTGGGTAGACCTGCTCCCGTCTTAGATGTACTGCTCACACAGCTCCCTAGCTGTGTGGTTTAGAAGAAGTTACTTAATCTCTCTAACCCTTATCTGAAATTGTGGGAAAGAAGAGCTTTCATCTTAGAGGGTTGTGAGGACTCAGTGAGGCGATGGGTATAAAAATTCTAAGAAAACATCCAACTATTTCTGAAAGGCATCACTTGGTCTTTGAATGACAGTAGAGAAATGTTTGCATTGCTCTTGCCAAGAATCTATTCTTTCATCTGACTCTTTAGGATTCAGTCTAATAGCTAACATAATAAATAATTAAGAGGACTTTTCTACCCCTCCCCTTAACAGCTGTAGTGGCCATATTTAAAATGTTAGCCACAGTACAAACCTGGTTAGATGATGCCTTTTTAAACCAGTTTCAAATCAGTCTAATAAGACTTTTCTTTTAACTCCTTTCTTTTATCTCAGGGGTGCATCAATTTCATGTCTTGAATACCTTTTCAAAGACATAGTTTTGATTTGAAAACATGGTCATGATCCAGAACACATTTTATGTACTACTTGACTGTAAGCTCTTTCTAGAAATCAGTCTCTCACAGACTGTGTGACATCTATTATTGAATGAACATCACTTCTACCTATATCTTGAAGAACGTCAATCTAAATTAAAATATGCCAAGTTTCTTAACAGCATCAACGGGTTTCCTAATTAACCTATGAATACTGTCAATCTGTTAATATTGTCCTCTTGTTCTTTTACAAATGAGTTATATAACATTTCTTTTATTTACTCTAGCAATTTCAGAACTAAAGTGCTCCTTAGGGTATTCCAAACTTCCTTTCAAAAGTAAAGAAAATATCAGTAACATGAATTAGTTCATCATATTGGCCGAAGACTTTTTGGCTTCTAGGATTTTTTTCATACCAGTAACTTGAACTTCATGCATTTGCCCTTTCTGCAATGCTCTTTGTCTGTAAAAGTCTATCTTATGAATTCTTGTGGTGAGGTGGATTCCTGAGGTTTGGTTCAAGGAGCATGTAGGCAGTAGCTTTTATGATCCTTAGTCTGGCTTTCTTAACAAAGTTGCTACAATATGTCTTTTCTCCCCAAGAATGGACCTCAGTGGGTGGGGGTGGGGGGGTGGGGGATTTGATTAGCCACAATCCTGGCTTTATGGCACATTCTCATTATTGATCCATGCACAGCTTTTATTGTTTATTGTAAAATAATGGATATCTGAAGATTCACCACCCAACCCAATTGATAGAACATTGAAAGTGACTTCTGTTTTTCATTACCCTTCCCTGTATGTTCCTCATGGGGTCTTCTGGGACTAGCTCTTTTTTCTTTTCAGTTTTTTATTTCAATCTTTCATCGCGTTCTAAGATTCATTCATCTTTTTTTTTTTTTTTTTTTTTTTGAGACGGAGTCTCGCTCTGTCGCCCAGGCTGGAGTGCAGTGGCGGGATCTCGGCTCACTGCAAGCTCCGCCTCCCGGGTTCACGCCATTCTCCTGCCTCAGCCTCCCAAGTAGCTGGGACTACAGGCGCCCGCCACTACGCCCGGCTAATTTTTTGTATTTTTAGTAGAGACGGGGTTTCACCGTTTTAGCCGGGATGGTCTCGATCTCCTGACCTCGTGATCTGCCCGCCTCGGCCTCCCAAAGTGCTGGTATTACAGGCGTGAGCCACCGCGCCCTGCCGTAAGATTCATTCATCTTATAACAAGTAGCTGTGGTGAGTTTTTACTGCTGGGTGTTATTTCACTCTGTGGATATAGTATAATTTATGTATTTGTTTTTCTACCAAAAATGGGCACAAGCTGCCTCTTTACTCTGGCCGACTCTTGGCAACACCAGAGGACAAAAAAGTAGGACAGAGCTTGTCATTGGTGCCTTTTGGTATATATTTCTACACTTCCTTATTCTCTTCTTAGGCGATCATCTGAGCGTTCTGCTTGGCACATAGTCAACAACAATAAATGTTTATCGAATATTGTAAGTGACATAAAATTTAGGGCAACTCCAGACAAATGAAAGGGGCTGCCCTGAGCATTGAATTGAAGCCTCATCTTGGCTTAGAGGAAAGAGTGCTGTGATCAATTATCAATGTCTACATGGATGGGGCCTGGGGAAGTGGGCGCTTAGGAGCCGCTTATTACCACCCCAGGTTTAATAGATTACCTTCCTCATGGACTTTAAAAACTCAGCTAGAGTCATGGGCATGGATTAAAAAGAAAGGAATAGAACTTCCATTGTGGAATTTCAAGTTTCAGTAAGTCTGGGTAGTCTCTGGGCACTGAAGATGATCAATGCAATTCTTGGTGCTCTTAAACCACACTGTAACCTTCTTTTCCCTTTCTTTTTTCCTTCCTTCCTCCCTTCCTTCCTCCCTCCCTCCTTTTCTCTCTCTTCTTGTCTTTCTTTCTCTCTTCTCTCTCTTTGAGACGGGCAGATCTCATTCTGTTCCCAGGCCAGAGTGCAGTGGCACAATCATAGCTCACTGAAGCCTTGAGCTCTTGGGCTCTAGTGATCGTTCCGCTTCAGCCTCCTGAGTTGTTGGGATTACAGGCATGAGCCAACATGCCCAGCTTCCACATATTTTAAAAGTTGGTCCTGGTATTTATTCTATGTTAAATATCTAATGTAAAAAAATGCACATTTTCCAGGAAATCAACTGCAGAAAAGGTGTTGTTTTTCATCCCTATGGTTAAATGTAGATTTTCTGTTTAAAAGTAAATCTTTTACCTGTGAAGATTGGATATGATGACACTTAAAGTAATGTAATTTTAAGTTGTCTAGTTGTTTAAATGTAGTGATGAAAAATTAACCAGAATATTTCTGGCTATGACCTCAAAGACCTTTTCCTGAAACTTTCATTTCTTTGTTTTGTTCTCATTCAAGTGTTGATAGCTTTAGTGATACCACTTCCAACTCGAGCCTCACTTTTAAATGGCTTATCATAAACTGTTAGAGCTGGGATAAATATAAAATATCATTTGGTTGAGTGTGTTTCAGATCTATCACCTAAGGAGACAGCATAAAAGACCAATTTCTGGGCTCCATCCTTAAACTAATAAATCCAGTTACCTGGGTGGAAGCCCAGGAGTGTGCATTTAATACAACCTCTCAGGTGGTTTTGATGCTTATTAACATTTGAGAAACACTGATCTGTTACAAATCTTCTGTAGTGGAGGAAACTGAAACAAAAGAAGTTAGGGACTTATCAAGAGTTGAGCACTAACAAATTCATATCTGGGCAGTCACATGAGGTGAGGTTATAAGATAAAAATGAATGTATGTTTTTCAGTTTATGTGGTGGGGTTTTAAATGTCTTATTCTCAATCCCAAAGCTGCCAGGCTGTAAATGTGCCTAAAACTCCTAGAATTAGGAGTTAGTTGTTTCCTGTTACCCTGTGTATTCTTTCTTTCTTTCTTTTTTTTTTAAATTCAATTAGTTGATGTTATTGGGGATCCCTGAAAAATTCTCAAGATCATCTGCTATTACTGGGTCACAATTCTTTTTGGGGTTCTTTTGAGAGCAAAGAAATTAGTCACTATTCTTATTCCAATTACACCAAGATCTATGAATCCATTTTCCAAAGATACTTAAATCTTGCAACATGGGAGAATAGTCACATCAGAACATTTACTTCTTCAAAATATCTCTTTTTTTGGGAAATTTACTAGTTTGTTGTTTTATGATTTAGTTGAAATGCAGGGAGTCACCTGCCCAACAGCATCTCAAATAATTAAAAGCCCTAATCTCCTGTCTCTTCCCCAAAGGGGGAATAAAAGGAACTAGAACCTCCCATCTCTCTCCCCACCTGGATACTTTTAGGCCAAGTCCATGGAAAACTCCTCTGTGTCTGTAAGCTGAATAATCCAAGTAGGCTGTGTCAGCTGAATAATCCAGGACTATTCAGATATTTGAAAAAAAATTCATATTTCAGTAGTGTGGGTTGACTTTTGCTTGAATCTATTGATTACAGAAAAAAGGGAGGTAAAAGTCTTTGGTCAAGGTCTTCTGATGCCTTGATACTTTACTGTCATTGATATCACATGTATTTACAGAGGCAAAGACCTAGAAGTCAACCCTAATTTGGGCTATTTCTGAAATTCTCAGAATTAGTATTATATTAATACTGTAACATGAATTCATTTTATTTGTGTAACTGAGGCAGGGGAATAGGGTCTGGAGACAGGGAATCTAAGGACGACTTGGACAGGCTCCCTGGAGCTGAGGAGTCTGCACACTGACCTATGATTGGCCCATTCCAGGACCTTCATTTGCATAAGATGCCAAACCACATCGGCCTCTGATTGACCACAGGCCAAATCTGCACTCTGGCCAATGATTGGTTCATTCTAGGACCTTCCTTTGCATAAAGCACCAAACTACATCAGTCTTGGATTGGCCATGGGCCAATTCACCTCAGCCTCTAGTTGGCTGCGAGCCAGTCCTTCATTTACATAGGGTGTAAGCAACGAGAAACCTCTAGGGAGTACTTAAGCTTCCAAAGACTTTGCTACCAGGGCTCTTGAGC